>NC_000005.10:91321928-91624958 GCF_000001405.40 Homo sapiens
TTTATTTCAGAAACGTTTGAATGTGGACAAGTGTATAGAGGAAATAAAAGTTACCTAATTAACTTATATTTAACCCTAGCAATTTGGTTTCTTTTATCTTTTAATGTGTTCAGTTTTTGTTTTCCTATACACATATCGATATATTCTTAGAATACTACTGGGCCAGGTGCAATGGCTCATACCTGTAATCCCAGCACTTTGAAAGGGAGGCTGAGGTGGGTATATCGCTTGACCCCAGGAGTTTGAGACCAGCCTGGGCAACATAGTGAGACCCTATCTCTCTCTCTTTTTTTTTTTTAAGATGGAGTCTTGCTCTGTCGCCCATGCTGGAGTGCAGTGGCTCAATCTCGGCTCACTGCAACCTCCACCTCCCAAGTTCAAGTGATTCTCCTGCCTCAGCCTCCCAGGTAGCTGAGACTACAGGCACGTGCCACCACGCCCAGCTAATTTTTGTAATATTTAGTAGAGATTGGGTTTTGCCATGGTGGCCAGGCCTGACCTGGCCATGGTCTTGAATGCCTGACCTCAGGTGATCTGCCCATCTTGGCTCCCCAAAGTGATGGGATTACAGGTGTGAGCCACCGTGCCTGGCCAAGACCCCATCTCTACTAAAAACACAAAAAATTAACCTGGCTTGGTGGCAGGTGCCTGTGGTCCCACCTTCTTGTGAAGCTGAGGTGGCAGGATAGCTTGATCCCAGAAGGCGGGTGCTTTAGTGAGCTGAGATCATGGCACTGCACTCCAGTCTGGGTGACAGAGTGAGACCCCATCTCAAAAAAAAAAAAAAAAGATACTATTGAACATACTGTGCATATGCTCAGCATAGGCACACCATAGTAGCCATCATCAATTTTTCTGACCAGTGGATCTAGTGAGGAGGCTCTGTGCTTGGAAACTTAAGGTTTTGTTTTATGGGCTAATATGTGGGCTGAAATTGTTACAATTGCAATAGTCCTCTGTAATTCGGTTTAAAATATTCACTTTCCTCCTTCTCCTAAAGAGGCAGAGTGGGATATATATGGCTTTTTTGTTTTTTGTTTTTTGTTATGTAGTCTTGCTCTGTCACCCAGGCTGGAGTGCAGTGGCACAATCTTAGTGCTCACTGCAACCTCCACCTCCCGGGTCCAAGCAATTCTCCCTCAGCCTCCCAAGTAGCTGGGACTACAGGCACATGCAACCACGCCTGGCTAATTTTTGTATTTTTGGTAGAGAAGGGTGTTTCACCATGTTGGCCAGGCTGGTCTCAAATGCCTGACCTCAGGTGATCCGCCTACCTCTGCCTCCCAAAGTGTTGGGGTTACAGGCATGAGCCACCAGGCCAGGCCAGATTTGTTTTTTTTAATAAGTGGGTTAAAATGTATTCCCTTGGGTGAAAATACGTGCAACATTTTAGATATCACTGGAGAAACCACAGAAGACCACAGGATAGGGACTAGGCATTAATAGTGTTGAGATGAACACTACAGTAGCAAAAAAAAAAAAAAAAAACTTGTCAAAGCAGTCTTGCAAATTCTTGGAGGATATCCTGCCACCTCTGGAAAAAAAGGAAAAAAAAAGCCACAGTCAATTCTGTCTCTGTCAGACCTCTAAATAGCGCCTTTCTGTTCCGCAGATTTGCAAAACTAGGAGTCTTTTCTGAGCTTTTTCTCTTGTGTAGTCCTTATCCCAATGCATCAGCAAGTCCTGCTGGCTCTACCTTCAATTTAAAGCCCAACTCCAACTACCTCTCACCACTTCCGTGGTTACCACCAGGGTGCCCAGCACCTTTGTCACCTGATTACTGCAATAGCTTCTTTAAAAAAAAAATTTTTATTAATAGATTAACATTTTGTTTATTTTTTTCTTTCTTTCTTTCTTTTTCCGAGATGGAGTCTCCCTCTGTCACCCAGGCTGGAGTGCAGTGGTGCGATCTTGGCTCACTGCAAGCTCCACCTCCCAGGTTCCTGCCATTCTCCTGCCTCAGCCTCCCAATTAGCTGGGACTACAGGTGCCCGCCACCATGCCTGGCTAATTTTTGTATTTTTAGTAGAGACGGGGGTTTCACCATTTTGGCCAGGCTGGTCTTGAACTCCTGATCTTGTGATCTGCCCACCTCAACCTCCCAAAGTGCTGGGATTACAGGTGTGAGCCACTGCGCCCGGCCCATTTTGTTTATTTTTAGATTTTTTTAAAATAATTTATTTCTATTTTTATTGCCCTTTCCCACATATTCTGAAGATTATTGCAATGAATTTTTTTTTTTTTTTTTGAGAATCTGGCCGCACCGCAGCCAGATTCTAATTGGCCTGCTTTTGTACTTGCCTCCTCTCTCCACCCCTCACCCCAGGCCCCACACGTCCTTCTCCCCTCAGTAATCTTGTCCTCACAAAACATCAAGAGCAACTATATCTATTTATCAGTTAGGGTATAGACAGGAAAGAGATGCTCACGCAAACTGGCTAATTTCAAGACAGTTTAATAAAGGAACAATTTACAAAGGTAAGGATAGGTTTGAGGGAAATAAAAAAGGAATAGAGCAGTATCCCAGAGCGCAGGAAGTGGTTACAGGGAATGTGGACAGAGAAATAGCCAGGCCTTGGATCAGAGCTCTTTGATTTCCTTCTGACAGTCCAACCCCTCTTCCCCTCACCCCTGGCACAGGGCAAGTGGAGGAGAAAAAAGAGTGGATCTGGAGGGGCAAATAGAAGAAACTCTTTTAAAATGTAAATCAGAGATTTTTATTCCCTTTTCTGAATCCCCTAATGTATGCCCATCTCAGTGTTTAGAGGGATATACCTTTTTTCTTCCCATGGTTTTCTTTTTTCTTTTGAGACGGAGTCTTGCTCTTGTTGCCCAGGCTGGAGTGCAGTGGCACAATCTCGGCTCACAGCAACCTCCGCCTCCCGGGTTCAAGCGATCCTCCTGCCTCAGCCCCCCGAGTAGCTGGGACTACAGGCATGTGCCACCACGCCCGGCTAATTTTTGTATTTTTAGTAGAGACAGGGTTTCTCTCCATGTTGGTCAGTCTGGTCTCGAACTCCCGCCCTCAGGTGATCCGCCCGCCTCGGCCTCCCAAAGTGCTGGGATTACAGGCGTGAGCCACCGCTCCCGGCCTGGTTTTCTTAAAGAGAGATTATTCCTAAGCACCTCCTGTTCTTTCTGTCTGCAGAAAGACTCCGCTTCCAGAAAGATGACTGACTTACTGATTGATACATGTGGAATGGAACACCAGGCCTGGCTCTTGACCCCCCTGGGAAGGAGTCAGCTAGCAGAAAGCAAACATTCTGTTTTGCTCTGTTGTCAGGTAAGCCTTCCTCAGGTTCTTTCTGTCTAATATTGGGGGTGTAGGATTAGGAAGTCCCCTTACTTAACAGCCTAAAGCAGCATCTAGCAACTGGACCTTTATCTGTAATAAAGTTGATCTGCTGGTTTTCATCTTTACTTTGAAAAGGAACTTCATTCACTCACTCACCAAGTGCTTTTTTGAGAGCCTGCTTTGTGCCAGATACTGTTCTGCTGCTAGGGGAGAAAAAGAAAAACAGACAAAAATCTCTTGCTTTGTTGTACTACTTATTTAAAACCTACGTGGAGAACAAGGACACAATTTATTGCGGGATCTCTTATGAGACCTTCAACTTTTTTCTCATTTATTTTTGAGATGGAGTCTCGCTCTGTCGCCAGGACGGAGTGCAATGACGCGATCTCGGCTTACTGCAACCTCCGCCTCCCAGGTTCAAGCGATCCTCGTGCCTCAGCTGCCAGAGAAACTGTGACAACAGGCGCCCGCCACCAAGCCTGGCTAATTTTTTGTGTTTCTGGTAGTGACGGGGTTTCACCATGTTGCCCAGGCTGGTCTCAAACTCCTTAGCTCAAGCGATCCGTCCGCCTCAGCCTTCCCAAAGTGCTGGGATTACAGGCGTGAGCCACCGCGCCTTGGCTGCCTTCAACTTTATTCAGAGCAATGTGCTCATTAAAATACAAAGTTCTGGCCGGGCGTGGTGGCGCTACCCTTTGGTCCCAGCTACTCAGGAGGCTGAGCCACGAGAATCGCTTGAACCCGGGAGCTGGAAGTTTGCAGTTAGCGGAGATCCCACCACTGCACTCCAGCCTGGGCGACAGAGCCAGACCCTGTCTCAAAAATAAGTAAAGAAACAAAGAAAATAATAAAATAAAATAAAAAGTACTTCTCATAGCCTACAAAGCTCTTCCTGGTATGATCCCTGCGCCTTCTGTCCGCATCTCCGGCCTCGCTCCCACTCCCTTTCTGGTAGTGTTGGCCTTCATGCTGTTGTTTGGTCACACCAGGCATACTCTCTCCCCTGTCCTTTGCACATGCTGTTCCGTCTGCCTGGATGGCTCTTCCTCTACATAGCCACATGATCTGGTCCCTCGCTTCTGTCAGGTTTACCTTCACAGAGAGGATTTTCCCGTCCACCTACAGAAAATGAACCCATCTCTGTCTTTGTCTATTTCCCTTCCCCAATTTCTTTTTTCTTTTCTTTCTTTCTTTCTTTTTTTTTTTTTTAGGGCGGAGTCTCACTCTTTCGCCCAGGCTGGAATACAGTGGTGTGATCTCAGCTCACTTCAACCTCCGCCTCCCTGGTTCAAGCGATTCTCCTGCCTCAGCCTCCCGAGTAGCTGGGACTACAGGTGCCTGCCACCACGCCTGGCTAATCTTTTTATTTTTATTTTTATTTTATTTTTAGTAGAGATGGGGCTTCACCGTGTTAGCCAGGATGGTCTCGATCTCCTGACCTCGTGATCCGCCCACCTCAGCCTCCCAAAGTGCTGGGATTACAGGCGTGAGCCACCACGCCTGGCCCCCAGTTTCATTTTTCTTCATATCACTTATCACCACCACATAGACATATATGTGTTCCATGTTCCTCCTTGTCTAGCACAGGGGAAACACTTGATCTGCTTGCTCTGTTGACAATGACTGTGAAGATGCACATATACTTGTATCATGCTTATTTGTTAGCCAGACAAAGTTCTAAATGTTTTACAATGATTACCTCATTTAATATTATATCATATCACCTCATATCAACCTTCTAAGATAAGAACTGTTATCGTCTGTACTTTCTAGATAAAGAAACTGAGGCACAGAGAGATTACAAAATCTGCCCAAGGTCACAGAGCTAGTAAGGGGTGGAGCAGATATTTAAACATAGTCAGATTGTATCCTTGATGAGAATTACAAACAGGAACAGAGCAAAGACATGGTTTTGTTCATGTTCTACCCTCAGGGCATGGAATAATGCCTAGCACTTAGCATAAATGAATGAATAAATGAAATAATGTTATCCGTTTCTTAGAATTATTTTGAAGATTAAAAATAGTCATGTAAAGGGCTTAAACCAGTCCATGGCACATAGTCAGAGCTCAATACAGATTAAGAAAAAACAGAACTTCTGGTTAACTTTGGGCTGTATCAATACCCTCTCTCTTTATGTTCTGAACAGTAATTTGATATTGTAATGGGTTCTCAACTTAAAATTTGAAGAACAGTTCTCAAGCTATGCTCAGATCTATCAAATGTATAATTGCTAGACTCTGAACCGGACTAATGTCTTTAGTTCTAAAATCAAATAATGGGATTTTTCTCAACTCTCAGAAAACATCAAACAAGTGAATATGATTTTCTAAATTTTAGGTGTTTCTCCCATGTATTTTTCTTAAAACATCAACTACTACATCTTATCTGCTGGGTACAAGAATGAGTGAATAAGTAGCAAATACTAACAGGAAAAGATGGAAAGAGCCCTAGTTGGAAATCAGAAAGCAGCCATGGTTTATTTATAAATATAAGATCAAGGGAATGTGATTTACAACACCAACACTGAATATTCTTGAAAAAGAAATTAAATAAATGCATAAATATTTGTTTATCTGTCTAGGTATCTCCATTTAGATTTAGATATGTAGATACATTTATTTGGTACTAAATCAGAGTTTTTGGGATTGAAATAAATCATCCATATTTTATCATAACACAAGGAGCACCTTTAATTTCAGGATATTCTGCTTCCTGAACAAGTTAAATAGCCATTGAACTAGGAAAGCAAAAATAAAAAGTAAAAACCTGGCAAACTCAGTGTTAGAGATTTCCCACCGGCTCCCTCTCCACTTCAATGAGGAAGCCCACGAGAATTTTAGCAGAACTGTATTTGCAGTGTAACTTTGGTCTGAAGTTTCTTCTCCACCCAAATGGAACTCAATCAAATATGTGGATTGCCAGGAAGTATAGTTCTATAATTTTATTTTATTTTATTTTTTGAGATGGAGTCTCGCTCTGTTGTCCAGGCTGGAGTGCAGTGACATGATCTCAGCTCACAGCTACCTCCACCTCCTTGGTTCAAGCGGTTCTCCTGCCTCAGCCTCCCCAGTAACTGGGATTACAGGCACATGCCACCACACCCGGCTAATTTTTGTATTTTTAATAGAGACGGGGGTTTCACCATGTTGTCCAGGCTGGTCTCCAATTCCTGACCCCATGATCTGCCCGCCTCAGCCTCCCAAAGTGCTGGGATTACAGGCATGAGCCACCACACCCGGCCTAGTTCTATAATGTTATTCAAAGACTGTAAAGATAACTCACATAGATGATTAATTTTTTAAGTATAACTATCAAAAAATTATAATTTTTGTTTTTAATTTATAACATTTATAAAAGAAAAACCAACATACATTTTTCAGAAGTTACTCAGGAGCCTAGTGTTATCTTGCTTAATTATTTTTGCACAGTGATAGTTTCAATCCAGGCACTGGATGGCAAGAAAAATTTGCACCTTGAGAGTAAAAATGTGAAAATCACATGTCATTTGAAGGGCCTAATTATACTTTTGGAAAGGGCGCTGAACTGTAGCTATTTTCATTAGTGGGCACTGACTGCAAATTCCCACTTCAATAGAGCTTTGCTATTGCCCCCAAACCATGCCCTTCGTGTAAATATTAGTGCAATTTCTACCGCAAGCAAAAATCATGGGGATATTAACCAGATCTCCTTGAACAGTTTCACTGAGTTCCTCCTGGCTGTAATGAATCTCCCCTAGCAGTCAGCTGAAACGTGTTTATTTAAACTATTTAAACATTCACTTGGTGCAAGATAGAGGAGCAGCAGCAGCAGCAGCAGCATGTTTAATGGTAATTTTCTTAGCAGAAAAGGGAGAAATACACATATACATTTATAATAACTCCTTCTTACTTTACAGAAAGGTGATACATCCCAAATCTAAAAAAGGGAAAGATAAAAAATTTTCCTCAAAAATCACTTTTCAAAAAAAACCAAAAAAGCAAACAAATAAACAAAACCCCCAAAACTCGGAATGTCCTCGTTCACTAGTTTTCCTTTCCTCTTCAGTGTTGGAATTTCATCTCCTTTCCATTGTATCTTTCATGTTGGTACATCCCCTTAGATTAAAAAAAAAAAAAAAAGTTTCTTCCTTAGGCTATGTTACTGAAACCAGTCTAGTCTCACCTGTAAGATCTAGGCAGCCATGGGAGTAACTTCTTCCTGTAACAGAATGAGTCTCTCTAGCTCAAAGAATCAGCCTGGTTTTCACAAGCAAGCCACAAAAAAATGTTATCAGGTCTATGGATCAGTCTGAGACCTGCTCTATCTTCCTAGAACAGTTTCCACATGTGATAAGAAGTGCATAATATGCTTCAGAAAAATGTATATAGAGCTGGAGCTGGAGGACTCCCTGTTTAAAATGTGGATTAACACAGAAAAAAATCGCAAGGAACCATGTATTGTGATCACAAGATACAGCTGCTCCTCACAGGTGCCCAGCCTCATGAAAGACACAACTAAGCTTCTGTTGCATTTTATTTTTTAAAATATTTGTTGTTTTGTATTCCCAGTAGAATGACTACTCTGCTGCATTTTAAACACATCTGGTCACGTTACACAGTAAAATAAATAATTTCCATATCTCTATTTCAGTTGTCTTGTATATTTGTGGTTCATACATCAACTAGCCCACTTTGTGGTGCTTCAGCTTTGCCTAGAATGTAACACAAATGTAAACCTCAATGTATCTGAAGAACTAATGCTTATATTTCATTTTTTCCTATATCTCCATTCGTTATAACCTATAATGTTTTCTATAATTATGTAAAAATAATCTTTATGTTTCTACACAGAACGTAAAAGAATTGAAGATTGCATTTCCTTTTTTTTTTCTTTTGAGATGGAGTTTTGCTCTTGTCGCCCAGGCTGGAGTGCAGTGGCACCATCTCAGCTCACTGCAACCTCCACCTCCCGGGTTCAAGTAATTCTCCTGCCTCAGCCTCCCAAGTAGCTGGGATTACAAGCATGCGCCACCACGCCTGGCTAATTTTGTAATTTTAGTAGAGACAAGGTTTCTCCATGTTGGTCGGGCTGGTCCCGAACTCCTGACCTCAGGTGATCCTCCCGCCTCAGCCTCCCAAAGTGCTGGGATTACAGTCGCGAGCCACTGCACCTGGCCAGAAGATTGCACTTTTAAAACTAAAGTTGAAATATTTAGTTTACCATGTAATTAAAAGCTACAAATAATTGTAGTAAGTTAGGAAATTGCACTTGCAGCATGTAATTGGTATTGACAATAAATGCAAAGGTTTATAAAATTCAATTGCTATTCTTATACTTGGACCTCATCAGCCAGTCATAAGCCAACCTCTAGAAAACTTCCAATACACACTCATGTTCTGCACTTGTGCACCCTGAATCTCAATCATAAGGTATATTTTAAATAAGCTCAGGAATAGTCTCAATTTATTTATTTGTTTGTTTATTTCTTTATTTATTTTGAGACGGAGTCTTGCTTTGTCACCCAGCTGCAGTGCAGTGGCAGGATCTCAGCTCACTGCAACCTCTGCCTCCCAGGTTCAAGCAATTCTCCTGCCTCAGCTGCCTGAGTAGCGGAGATTACAGGCACCCACCACCATGCCCTGCTAACTTTTGTATTTTTAGTAGGGATAGGGTTTCACCATGTTGGCCAGGCTGGTGTCGAACTCCTGACCTCAGATGATCCACCCACTACAGCCTACCAAAGTGCTGGGATTACAGGCCTGAGCCACTGAGGCCAGCCATCAATTTTTTAATGATGAAAATGAGGTGGGCCAGAACCACTAAGTCTATTTCACATTTATTTATTTATTTATTTATTTATGAGACAGGGTCTCACTCTGTTGCTTACTGCAGCCTCGACCTCCTGGGCTCGAACCATCCTCCCACCTCAGCCTCCTGAGTAGCTGGGACTACAGGTGCACGCCATAGCACCGGCTTATTTTTTATTTTTTTAGAGACTGAGGTCTTGCTATTCTGCCCAGGCGGGTCTTGAACTCCTGGACACAAGCCATCCTCCCACCTCAGCCTCCCAGATTACAGCCTATTTCACTTTTAGAGTTTTTAGAGTTTAAGAGGTTTGCTACTGCCTTCATTATATCTCATTGACTTTATGAATCCAGTTCATAAAAATTTTGCAGTGAAGAACACAGTTTAACATATGTTCTGGTATCCTCAAGTTTATAGGTGAAAATGAGGACCAGAAAGAAAAACAAGTGTACCGAAAAATTTATGGGTGAATGAATTCTCTATTTTCACCCCCTCACAATATACCATGAAGTCCTGCCTATTCTACATTAAAGATCTAACTCTCACTTTTCTTGTTACCATCCGCCAGACCTCGTTATCATTCTCGCTCACCTGGACTAGTGCAGAACTTCCTGACTGTCTTCTCACCTTTACTGTTGCCCCTGTTAATTTATTCTGCATGCAACAGCCAAAGAGGTATTTAAAAATGTAAACTAAATTATCTGGCTGCTTTCTCACAAAGGCGTCTCTTTGCACTGAGAGTAAAATTCATACCCCTTGGCATGGACCACATTGCACTACATACCCTGGCTCCTCTTGTTCTTCCACCCTAGTTCTTTTGTTTTGTTTTGTTTTTGTTTTCTGAGACAGGGTCACACTCTGCTGCCCAGGCTGAAGTGCAGTGGCATGATCACAGCTCACCATAACCTTGAATTCCTGAGCTCAAGCAATCCTCCTGCCTCAGCTTCCCTAGTAGCTAGGACTACAGGCACATGCCACTTCATCCAGCTAATTAAAAAAAAAAAAAACTTTGTTTTGTAGAAATAGGGTCTTACTATTTTGCCCAGGCTGGTCTCCAACTCCTGGCCTCAAGAGATCCTCCTGTCCCACCTCCCAAAGTGCTAAGAGTACAGGTGTGAGCCACTGTGCCCAACCCCTCACTGTTTCTCATTCACAAGCTATACATTGGTCTTTTTCCTGTTTCTTTGATGTGCCAAACACTTGCTTCTCCTTCTGCCGGGGACAATTGCCTCTGGTCTTTATCTTTTCATCCACACTAAATGTATTGATATTCTAATACAGATAGCATTTTCAAACAGCCAAGTTATTGTTTTTGTCATTCCCTTTTTCTCTGAGCCATTGGGGAGCTGTTGGCTGGTTGATCATGCTCTGTTTTCCCTTCCTTCTTAGGCATACAGGAGACTCTACTTCTTAACTGACCATGTGGTCAGTTAAGGCCACGTGGTCAGTGCTAAACAATGAAATGTGAGCCTAAGTAAGAGATGTCACTTCTGAGCTGAGGTTGTGGCCCGTTTGGTATTTTCATGACTCATTTCCCGTTATCATTCAGGTCTTGGTTCAAATGCCACTCAAGGATCCCTCTCACCTCCAACCCAGTCACTGCTCACATATTTCATAGAACAAGGACCCTTTTAAAAATTGCTTGCACTGCTTTATCTCCTGTGTCTAGTACAGTGCCTCGCACATAGCAAGTGCTCAAGAAATGTGTTAAATTCACAAACAAAGTGGAAATTAGAAACATCCATGCATCTATTTATCATCCATCTATGCATCCGTTTACAAATTCATTCAACAACTTTTACTGAATCCCCATTATGAGTCAGGTACTGTGCTAGACAATGCAAAAGTAGATAAAGTAAGATCTTAGCCCTTGAGGTGCTCATAATTGCGTTTGGACAGTAAGACATGTGAGCATATAATTATGATGCCATGTAGTATGTGGGCAATAAGAGCGAAACTCCGTCTGGAAAATAAAATGAAACAAAATGGTTCCCAGTGTAGTGGCAAGGTGCTGTTTAGTGTTCCTAAGCACTAGACATGTGTGATGTGTCTTACAGATAAATCCTTGTATTAGATAAGCTTCATTCAAGCATAAATTACAGTGCTGTGGCCATAAGTATATTAAGTAATTGTCTTTCTTTTTTCTCTTTCCTTTTCTTTGGAGACAGAGTCTTGCTCTGTTGCCCAGGCTGCAGTGCAGTGGTACAATCCAGCTCACTGCAACCTCCATCTCCTGGGTTCAAGCAATTCTTGAGCCTGAGCCTCCCAAGAATCTGGGACTACAGGCGCGTGCCACTAAACCTGGCTAATTTTTTCTATTTTAGTAAAGACAGGGTTTCACCGTGTTGTCCAGGCTGGCTTCGAACTCCTGAGCTCAGGCAATCTGCCCACCTTGGCTTCCCAAAGAGCTGGGATTGCAGGCATGAGCTACCGTGCCTGGCCAAGTAATTGTAAACCAAAAATAAAATTCTAAGGCCCCCCAAGCATCTGAACGGACCTCTCCTCTCAGCCAAGGGCATTCCAGAGTTAACCTGAAGATACAGTTCAGGCCATGATGGAAGCAGGGATTAGATATATCTCATTTTACTCCTCCAGCATCAACATCAATACAGTCCTTCAGTTTGATAAGATACATTTACAATCTATTCTCTCTGAAGCCTGCTACATGGAGGCTTCATCTGCATGATAAAACATTAGTCTCCACAACCCCTTATCTTGACCCAGACATTCCTTTCTAGTGATAATAACTCTTTCAATCAATTGCCAATCAGAACATTTTATAATCTTCCTATGACCTGGAAGCCCCTCCTCCCTTTGAGTTTTCCCGCCCTTACAGACCCAACTAAAGTAAATCTTACATTTATTGATTGATGTTTTATGTGTCCCTAAAATGTATAAAAGCAAGCCGTACCCCAATAACCCTGGGCACATGTCAGAACCTCCTGAGGCTGTGTGATGAATGCGTCCTTAACCTTGGCAACATAAACTTTCCAAATTGATTGAGACCTGGCTCAGATGCTTTTGGGTTCAGATCTTTAAACAGAAAAACACATAAAACAAGGTTATGTATTGATCAGTTGAAAAAACATTGTCACCAAGGGCTGTCGGAACCTAATCTTGTATTTTCCCTAGGAGCAATGCGTCAGTATTCACTAATTCAGTGTTTGTGGAGACTTTACAGAACATAACTGCCACAAATAATGAGAATCAACTCACCGGAGACTTGCTTTAAAAACACTTGCAAGAGGCCAGGCATGGTGGCTCACACCTGCAATCCTAGCGCTTTGGGAGGCCGAGGCAGGTAAATCGCTTGAGCTCAGGAGTTCAAAACCAATCTGGGCAACATGGTGGAACCTGGTCTCTACAAAAAATACAAAATTTAGCTGGGTATGGTGGTGCACACCTATAGTCCCAGGTACTTGGGACGCTGAGGTGGGAGAATCAGATGGCTTGAGTCTGGGAGGAGGAGGTTACAGTGAGCAGTAATTGCACCACTGCACTCCAGCCTGGGTGACAGAGTGAGACCCTGTCTCAAAAAAAACAGAAAAACAAAACCAACCCACTTGCGCTTTAGTTGATTTTTTTTTTGAGATGGAGTCTCACTCTGTCACCCAGGCTGGAGTGCAGTGACATGATCTAGGCTCGCTGCAATCTCCGCCTCTTGGGTTCCAGTGATTCTCCTGCCTCAGCCTCCTGAGTAGCTGGGATTACAGATGTGCACCACCATGCCAGCTAATTTTTGTATTTTTAGTAGAGATGGGGTTTCACCATGTTGGCCAGGCTGGTCTCAAACTCCTGGCCTCATGTGATCCGCCTGCCTTAGCCTCCCAAAGTGCTGGGATTACAGGCCTGAGCCACCAAAACCCAGCGTTTTTTTTTTTTTGTTTTGTTTTTTGAGCCAGGGTCTCACTATGTTGCCTAGGCTGTGTTCTCCAGCTCCCGGGCTCAAGTGATCCTCCCACCTCAACCTCCCAAATAGTTAGGACTACAGGCATACACCACCATGGCTGGCTTCCTTAGTGTAATTCCATACAAACAAGAACATTGGGATACTCAGAGTCACTTTATTCTTTTTTTTTTTGTTTTGTTTTTGTTTTTTTTTTATTATACTTTAAGTTTTAGGGTACATGTGCACATTGTGCAGGTTAGTTACTTTATTCTTATTAATACCAGAAGTACCTACCTATGTCTATATTTGACCTGTAAGCCAGCAAATGCTAATATAGATCCAAGGACAAATCTAATTTATGCCACTCTAACTAGGGTTTTTCTGGTTTTGTTTAGGTCAACCTGGTATGTGGTGAAATCAAATGTAAACATACTATACAAAAGCATAGATTTATTTCCAAATACATGACTTAGAAGATATTTTGGAAAAAAGATTTTTTTTTCTTTAAAGAGAGAAGCATTCTTTCTCTCAGTCGAACTCACATCCAGGACAAGACATTAAAGAAGAATTGCCTTAAAGGGAGAGAGGTTGTCACAAATGCTCTCCCCATGAACCTGCAGGTATATGGATAGTCCTTGCCACTGGTTACTAGTTTGTGTAAAAGTGTCGAATGCAATTACGGAGAGGAGATCTTGGGAGCAAACAGATAAAAACATCAATAATTATTGCCTGAACATCTCTCATATGATTAACTTTGGCAGATAATTGGGTACGAGCATGTGATAATTGGCTTTGTGTGGTGGCTCATGCCTATAATCCCAGCACTTTGAGAGGCCGAGGCAGGTGGATTGCTTGAGCTCAGGAGTTCAAGACCAGCTTGGGCAAACGTGGTGAAACTTCATCTCTACACAATTAGGTGAATTTTTTTTTCATATATATATATGTGTATGTGTGTGTGTGTGTGTGTATATATATATATATTTTATATATATAGTGTGTGTGTGTGTGTTTGTGTGTTTTCTTACCTAAGAATTAGGTGAATTTTGATTTGGGAGAAAGGTCAGGAAAAAATCTAGACCAGAGCAGTAGTTCTTAAATATGGAAGACATTTAAGAATCATAGGCCTGGCGAGGTGGCTCACACCTGTAATCCCAGCACTTCGGGAGGCCGAGGTGGGTGGATCATGAGGTTAGGAGATCGAGACCATCCTGGCCAACATGGTGAAACCCCGTCTCTACTAAAAAAAAAAAAGTTATCTGGGTGTGGTGGTGCGCGCCTGTAATCCCAGCTACTCAGGAGGCTGAGGCAGGAGAATCTCTTGAACCTGGGAGGCGGAGATTGCAGTGAGCTGAGATTGCGCCACTGCACTCTAGCCTGGCAACAGAGTGAGACTCTTTAAAAAAAAAAAATTCATGCTAGAATCGAACTAAAATGCAAATGCCCAGTCCCACCTCCAGAGATTCTCACTCAGTAAGAATAGCTGGAGTCCCAGAAATATGTATTTTTCACAAGTGCCCCAGAAACCCTGATGTAGATTGTCCTAGACCACACTTTGAGGCGCTGATGGGGTGGGCAGCCAGCTTCCAGGAGCTGGGACACCTGCTGATAGTCCTTCCTGCCACTCACTGTGATGCAGGTCTATGCTGTGTTCTGAGGACATAATGCATAGATGGAGTGACTCTGGGAGAAGAAAACTTGCAAGGATGTGCTGAGCAATCTGGAAGTATGACAGGTCCTGAAAACAAAATTTGTCCGTGTATACATTTTCCCATAACTGTTCCTGTCCTGTTGGGAGCCTAGAGCCACTATTTTCTGAAGAAAATAAAAAGAGGGTATGTTGGTATTGTGTTGGAATGGGGCCTTTCACAATTAAAGTGGTGATAATCATTGTTTCTAAATTTATATTTTCATGTTAGTGATTCATTAGCATTCCAAATATCTGCATGCCAAAGAATAAATTTGCCCAATAGCAATACATTTCATATGCTTTTGTGGAGGATTTTCTGACTTTAAAAGCCAGCTGCATTCATTTTTCGGGGTCACTGTGACCACTTTTTCATTCATTCCTTCAACAAATATGTATCAGCCCAGTGTGGTGGCTCATGCCTATAATCCCAGAACTTTGGGAGGCTGAGGCGGGCGGATCACCTGAGTAGTCAGGAGTTCAAGACCACCCTGGTCAACGTGGCGAAACCCTGTCTCTACTAAAAATACAAAAATTAGCTGGGTGTGGTGGCACACACCTGTAATCTCAGCTACTTGGGAGGCTGAGGCAGGAGAATCGCTTAAACCTGGGAGGCAGGGGTTGCAGTGAGCCAAGATGGAGCCACGGCACTCCAGCCTAGGCAACAGAGCAAGACTCCGTCTCAAAAATAAAAATAAATACATAAATAAATAAAATTAAAAAAACAACACAAATATATATGGCACTTGAGATAACTTAGTGTTCACAAACTTGAATACTAATAGAGAAGACAGAAAATAAATATAATGAATGAGAAGTAGAATAAATTACTTGCTATAAAGTGTTAATGCTATGGGAAAATATTCAAGTAGAGAGAAAGAAGAAAGAAACGAGGTTCAGTAAAGACTGGTGCAGTACCAGTTTTTATATATATATATATATATATATATAATTTTTTTTGAGACAATATCTCACTCTGTCACCCAGGCTGGAGTGCAGTGACATGATCTCGGCTCACTGCATCCTCCGCTTCCCAGGTTCAAGTGATTCTCCTGACTCAGCCTCCCTAATAGCTGGGATTACAGGCACTTGCCACCATGCCAGCTAATTTTTGTATTTTTAGTAGAGACGGGGTTTCACCATGTTGGCCAGACTGGACTCAAACTCCTGACCTCAAGTGATCTGCCCGCCTTGGCCTCCCAAAGTGCTGGGATTACAGGTGTGAGCCACCTCGTGCAGCCCAAAATTTAAAATAGAGTTTTTAGGGTAGGCCTATCATTTGAATAAAGACTCGTAGAGAGTGAGGAGACTGGGTATGCAAAATTCCAAGCAGAGGAAATGGCCAGTGCAAAAGCTCTAAGGCAGCAAACCTGCATGGAATATTTGAAAAACTGCCAGTAGTCAGGTGTAGTTAGAATGCTATGTGCAGGGAGGAGGTCACCACAGTGGTGGTGATGAGGGAGAAAGTGCAGAGAGCAGAGGGCCTCATATACCATTGTAACAAATTTGGCTTTCACTCTGAAAAAAATAGGGAGCCACTATTGTCAGAAGACACATGACTTGATGCGGCTTTTCATTTTATTTTGTTTATTTATTTACTTATTTTTTTTAGACAGAGTTTTGCTCTGTCGCCTAGGCTGAGTACAGTGGCACGATCTTGGCTCACTGCAACCTCCGTCTCCTGGGTTCATGCGATTCTCCTGCCTTAGCCTCCTGAGTAACTGGGACTATAGGCATGCACCACCACGCCCGGCTGATTTTTATATTTTTAGTAGAGATGGGGTTTCACCATGTTGGCCAGGCTGGTCTCGAACTCCTGACCTCAAGTGATCCTCCCGCCTTGGCCTTCCAAAGTGCTGGGATTACAGATGTGAGCCACTGCACCTGGCCCTGGCTTTTCATTTTAAGGGATATCTCTGACTACTGTGTTGAGAATAAATTGTTTTTTTTTTGTTGTTGTTGTTGTTTTTGAGATGGAGTCTTGCTCTGTCACCCAGGCTGGAGTGCAGTGGCACCATCTCGGCTCACTGCCAGCTCCGCCTCCCGGGTTCACGCCATTCTCCTGCCTCAGCCTCCCGAGTAGCTGGGACTACAGGCACCCGCCACCAGGCCCGGCTAATTTTTTGTATTTTTAGTAGAGATGGGGTTTCACCGTGTTAGCCAGGATGGTCTCGATCTCCTGACCTTGTGATCCGCCCACCTCAGCCTCCCAAAGTGCTGAGATTACAGGCGTGAGCCACCGCGCCCGGCCGAGAATAAATTGTTAAAGGGGCAAGGGTGAAAGCAGAGATAATGTCTGGAGGTCAGTGCAATAATGCAATGTCAAGGTGACAGTGACAAAGACCAGGATGGTAGTTGTGAAGATGGTGAGAAATGGTTGGAGTCTGGGTATATCTTGAAAGCAGAGCAATTTAAGTTTCCTGACAAGTTGGATATGGGATGTAAGAGAATGATAGAATTCAAAGATGCTTCTTTGGACTGAGCAAACCAAGTACAGATGTGGCATTCACTGAGATTGTCATCCTTTGTTTTAGCTAACACTGTACTGTATTCAAAAGCCAACCAGTCAGCATGAACTTAATTACACTGAGGCATGAATGCACATTGCTTAGCCTTTGGAATGGGTAGCTTTCATAGGCAAATTGCCTGTTTTCTAATCCTGGCTCACTGCCTGCTAGCTGTGTTACTTAACCTCTTAAATTTGAGCAAGTTACTTAACTTCTCTGAGCCTCAGATTCCTTCCCTGTGAAATGGGGATAATAACAGTACTACCTTGTGGAGCTGATAATGTTCAGGGAATTGATATATGAAAGCACTTAAAAACAGAACCTGGAATATATTTCAGCTAACAGTACGATTAAAATAGTAGATGAGAAGAGATTGCTAATTTTTTTCCCGTATTCCATTAGAGTTGGTTTTCCCCTTTTCTTTCCAGAATGAGTCACTTGGTGACTTTTAATTAGGGAGTTGCAAACATTTCTGGGAACTTTAGATAAAAGGTAAGTATTATTTTCTTTTGTCTGTCAGATGAATGTTAAAGATAGCCAAGATGGTGCCACTGCACTCAGCCCAGGCGACAGAGCAAAACTGTCTCAAAAAAGTAATTAAATAAATAAAATAAAATGAAAACAAAAGAAGAAAAACACTTGGACATATGAGAGGAAATGTATACACATTCAACATTAAAAATTAAAAGCAATTATTCTCAGATTTATGCTTAATGGTGTTAATGATGTTAGAATGAAGAAAGCAAATTTCAAAAACAAAGAGAACTTAGATATCATGTGACTCAATCCTTTCTTTATTCATTTTACATTGTTATGTAATCTGGATACCAGTGCCTGTCACCTGTTTGGAGGCAATTAGACTTCTAATATTTAAATAACTCGTGCCCTTTTTACAACACAGTGAAAACTCAGAGTCTATCCCAGTAATCCTCGAGTGGCTAACATTTTAGTCATTCTACTCCAATTTGCTGTTATTTGTTGGCATCTCTGGCTCTGCCCTCTCTGATGCCTTTTTTCCATCCTGTTCCCAACATTTATTTATTTATTTAGAGACAGAATCTCGCTCTGTCACCCAGGCTGGAGTGTAGTGGCGCTACCTCAGCTCACTGCAATCTCCGCCTCCCAGGTTCAAGCGATTCTTGTGCCTCAGCCTCCCAAGTAGCTGGAACCACAGGCATGCACCACCATGCCTGGCTACTTTTTTTATTTTTAGTAGAGACAGCATGAGCCACCGCACCAGGCCTCCTGTACCCAACATTGGACACAACCTAAATTACTCCCATTTCACAAAGCACCACTAATACAAGGTCAAGGGTGTAAGTTTTACTGGAATTTGTATTAACTGTAAAGGGTTGCAGAGCTACACAGTACTGGAAAAAAGTTCAAAATCATTACTGTGACTCTACTAAAGTCTACTAATTAGTCCCCGTCATAGAGAATTTCTATATCTCCTTAACAGATCACTTCCAGTTATATTTTTGCTGCAGGTCTCTCCTCCCCAGCCACCTCCCATTCCCAAGCCTTCTAATTCTTATTTTATTATTCAAAGCAGTTTACCAGTTTAAACTTTTCCTACCTATGCTTTTCAGTTTCTCGTCTTTAATAGCAAACGATTCATTAAGGTATATTGATAAATGTAAGTGACATTTACTCCAATAAATGTCACCGTGAATAGCAACTGCACTCCAGCCTGGGCAATGTAGCAAGACCCCATCTCTAAAAACATAAATAAAATAAATTTTTTAAAAAGAAAAGCACAGAGATAAGAGAGCTTAGAGCAGACTGGCCTCATCTAGTGATGATGAGTTAAGGAAGGCTTACTGGAATTAAGATAGATGTGAATGATAAGAAAATAAAGAGGAGGCCGGGCATGGTGGCTCATGCCTGTAATCTCAGAACTTTGGGAGGCTGAGGCGGGTGGATCACTTGAGGTCAGGAGTTTGAGACCACCCTGGCCAATATGGTGAAAACCAGTCTCTACTAAAAATACAAAAATTGGCCGGACATGATGGTGGGTGCCTGTAATCCCAGCTACTGGGGAAGCTGAGGCACCAGAATTACCTAAACCTGGGAGGTGGAGGTTGCAGTGAGCTGCGATCATGCCACTGCACTCTAGCCTGGGTGACAAGAGCCAAACTTGGTCTCAAAAACAAAAACAAAACAAACAAAGAAGATAAAGAGGAGTCAGACAAAGCTATTGAGTAACTTAAAGAAAGCCAGTATGGCTCCAGGGTACTTGGTGTGAGGCTGCAGAGAGAGGCAGGCGTGCAATCCTGCAGAGTCTCATAAGATAGGAAGCTTATCATGATCTAGGCTAGCAATGGGAAACCCCTACTCTGGCTGCTCTAGGAGAGAAGGGACTAGAGAAGGCAGAAGTAGAAACAGGGAGGCCAGTGGAGAGGCTATTGGAGAAGTCCAGGTAAGAATTTATGGCAGCACAGTTGAGGGTTCCGGCAGTGCACATGGCAGAAAGGGTTTGTGCTGAATTATTTTCTCTCCCTGTGCACTACATTATGTCCCAGGTCCCTGGGGCACATTGCATATTTCAAAAAAAAGAAACAAAACTATTTCTACATCAAGGTTTCTCAGCCTTGGCACTATTGACATTTTGGACGGGATATATCTTTGCTGTGCTGTGCATTGTAGGATGTTTAGCAGCTTCCCTGATCTCTACCCTCGGGTGTCCATAGCAGCTCCCACCCACAATATGACAACCAAAAATGTGTTCCAGACATTACAAAATGTTCCCTGGGCCTGGAAGTAGACAGTGAAGAGGGCAAAATTGCCCCTTTTGAGAATCACCATTCTATAGGAACATAGATATTCATTTGTTCGAAATTATCTGAGACAGCTGGGTGTGGTGGCTCACGTCTGTTATCCTAGCACTTTAGGAGGCTGAGGTGAGAGGATCACTTGCCTGGGAGTTAGAAACCAGCCTGGGCACCAGGGTGAGATGCCGTCTCTACAAAATATGTTAAAAAAATTAGCCAGGCATGGTGGCATGTGTCTATGGTCTCAGCTAATAGGGAGGCTTAGGCAGGAAGATAGCTTCAGCCAGGACTGCCAAGTTACAATGAGCTATGAACACACCACTGAACTTCAACCTGGATGACAGAGCGAGAAACGATCTCTCTCTCTCTCTCTCTCTCCCTCTCTCTTTCTAAGACAGAGTCTCGCTCTGTCACCCAGGCTGGAGTGCAGTGGCCTGATCTCAGCTCACTACAGCCTCCACCTCCCGGGCTCAAGTGATTCTCCCACCACAAGTAGCTGTGATTACAGATGGTTACCACCATGCCTGGCTAATATGTATTTATTTATTTATTTGAGACAAGGTCTCACTCTGTCACCCAGGCTGGAGTGCAGTTGCATGATCTTGGCTTACTGCAACGTCTAACTACCAGATTCTCCTGCCTGAGCCTCCCAGGTAGCTGGGAATACAGGCATGTGCCACCATACCTGGCTAATATTTGTATTTGTTCGTAGAAACGGGGTTTCACCATGTTGCCCAAGCTGGTCTTGAACTCCTGACCTCAAGTGATCCGCCCGCCTTGGCCTCCCAAAGTGCTGAGATTATAGGTGTGAGCCACCATGTCCGGCCAAGAGAGATTTTTTTTCCTCTTAAAAAAAAAAATTAGATAAATGTTAACAATTAAAATTTCTAGAATGGCTTCTCTGAAAATAATTGAGATGAAAATTAAGACAACAAGAATGTTTTTGGAAGCATTCTATAATAAAATTAAGGTTTATATGGGTAATAAGGAAAAAAGAAGCTGAATTGAAAAGGGGGTTTTGTCCATTTATTTATTTATTTATTTTCTCTCTTTCTTTTCCCTACATTTCCCCCTTTTCTATTCGACAAAACCGCCATTGTCATCATGGCCCCTTCTCAATGAGCTGTTTGGGTACACCTCCCAGACGGGGCGGCGGCCGGGCAGAGGCGCCCCCCACCTCCCGGACGGGGCGGCTGCCGGGCGGAGACGCTCCTCACTTCCCAGACGGGGCGGCCGGTCAGAGACGCTCCTCACCTCCCAGACAGGGTGGCGGTGGGGCAGAGACACTCCTCAGTTCCCAGACGGGGTCGCAGCCGGGCAGAGGCACTCTTCACATCTCAGACGGGGCGGCGGGGCAGAGGCGCTCCCCACATCCCAGATGATGGGTGGCCAGGCAGAGACGCTCCTCACTTCCTATATGCGGTGGCGGCCGGGCAGAGGCTGCAATCTGGGCACTTTGGGAGGCCAAGGCAGGCGGCTGGGAGGTGGAGGTTGTAGCGATCTGAGATCACGCCACTGCATTCCAGCCTGGGCAACATTGAGCACTGAGTGCCGTTTATTTAATCTTATGTTTCATTACGTCAAACTAGGTGTTCTACAAGCCTTACGTTATTACAGGAAAAAAAATACCAAAATAAACCCCATTTTGGCCTCAACATTTATAAGAAGATATTTCTCAAGGTCTTCTTCTTTCAACTCTGGCATGATATCCCAGAATGACCGAGATGTACTCCTGATTATTTACATAATATTTCCTTAAGAGAAATCAGGCACATTGCAAAAGCAGATGCAGAGGGTAACTTAGAAGAGTTTTGGCTGATAGTTGTTTTTTCCTCTTCTTGATCATAGGGTCTGAATATTTCAGAATCACACAAAAAATAATTTAGGTTTAAGGGTATTAGAGGCTCCATTTAAGACTTCATTACTTAAAACTGGCAAAAAATTGTGTTGAATAAATTACCATCTGAAAATCTCTAAATTTGACTAGCTGCTGAGATCACATTGGGAAAGAAATCTGACCCTAAATTAGTTTTTTTAAATAGTCATAACTTGTTTTAAAAAGGGGAAAATTAAATCAGTGTAAGGATTTTAGTATCTTTGGTCTTACTGGAAGCAGATCTGCTAGTATTGTTATAGAATGTAAAACTTTTTCTTGTCCCTGCCCCTCTGCTTTCATCCCTAAGCCCCAGCTCTCTTCCCAACCGACAGTCAGTACAACCCATAAACTGTCAGTCTGGCAGCCATTCTCAAAGGCCTCATGGCAGGAAAAGTTCTCTTGGATTTTATCCTTTCCCTTCTATAGACATGTTCATCTGAACGATCTGTGATTTAGTTTCCAAGTCATTATTTGCAGATCAGTGGAGTTTAAAATATTTATTGTTTTCAATTTAAAGCACTGTAGTCCAAAAAAATTTTTGTAGGTGTGGAGACAGAGTCTTGCTTTGTTGCCCAGGCTGGAGTGCAGTGGTGCCATCATAGCTGACTGCAGCTTTGAGCTCCTGGCCTCAAGCGATCCTCCCACCTCGACATCCTAAAGTATTGGGATTACAGGTGTGAGCCACTGCACCTGGTGAGAATGCACTGCATTCTGAATGTATAAGTATAATCTTTGATAGGCTTCTTTCTTCGACTCTAAGCACTTCAGCGTGGGAACACAGGATTTTCTATATTGTTTCAGACTTTTCTTGTAGGACCTTTTTTTTCTTTTTCTTTTTTTTGAGATGGAATCTTGCTCTGTCGCCCAGGCTAGAGGGCAGTAGTGGGATCTCAGCTCACTGCAACTTCGGCCTCCCTGGTTCAAGCAATTCTCCCTGCCTAAGCCTCCTGAGTAGCTGGGATTACAGGTACCCACCACCATGCCCAGCTAATTTTTGTATTTTTAGTACAGATGGGGTTTTGCTATGTTGGCCAGGCTGGTCTCGAACTCCCAACCTCAGGGGATCCACCCACCTTGGCCTCCCAAAGTGCTGGGATTACAAGTGTGAGACACCGTGCCCAGTCAGCACAAATTAAATACATAAATGCTGTACGTGCTAACAGGTCCACAACCTGTCTACCTCCAATAAATAACTATTTTTACTGGCCTTAAAGGTCTTGAGATGGACAACTGATCCTGGAATGTTTTCCATATCCATTACTTCATATCCTCAGGGCATTTTAGAAGGTGACTATGTGTTCTTTAAAAATGTGGCTATTAGTCGGGCATGGTGGCTCATGCCTGTAATCCCTACACTTTGGGAGGCTAAGGCAGGTGGACCACTTGAGATCAGGAGTTTGAGACCAGCCTGGCCAACATGGTGAAATCCCATCTCTACTAAAGATACAAAAAAAAAAAAAGAAAATTAGCCAGGCGTGGTGGCAGGCACCTGTAATCCCCCTTACTCAGGAGGCTGAGGAAGGAGAATCACTTGAACCCGGGAGGCCGAGGTTGCAAAGAACCGAGATCGCACCGCTGCACTCCAGCCTGGGTGACAGAGCAAGACTCCATTTCAAATAAATAAATAATAAATAAATAAAAATGTAGCTATCATAGTATAGTGGATAAAGAATAGGCAACTCCCTGAGTGTGACTTTTGGAAATTTCCTATGCTTGTTTAGGCCTTACCTTCCCATCTGTAGTGAAGATGATAACCATACTTACCCGCATCCATGAGCATGCCTTTCACTTTGTTCTCTACTGGCCTCCCTCATGGTTTTCAAATGTGTGCTACCATTTCTGGCATCACATGCAGACAGAACAACATCCAGTGCAAGAAGATATGCTGTTTCTTTCATTTTACTTTAAGCGAGAGGGAACATTTCCCAGATGTCTCATGGTTCACTGGCCAGAACCGATTCATGTCCTCTTCCTTAAGCAGTCACTGGCAAGGGGAGAGGGTTTATTTGATTGCCCTTTTTTCCTTTTTCTTTTTCTTTTTTTTTTTTTTTTTTTTGAGACAGAGTCTTTGTCACCAGGGTGGAGTGGTGCAGTGGCACAATCTCGGCTCACTGCAACCTCCGCCTCCTAGGTTCAAGCAGTTCTCCTGCCTCAGCCTCCCAAGTAGCTGGGACTACAGGCACACGCCACAGTGCCCAGCTAATTTTTGTATTTTTAGTAGAGATGGGGGGTTTCACCATGTCGGCCAGGATGGTCTCGATCTCTTGACCTCGTCATCCACCCGCATCAGCCTCCCAAAGTGCTGGGATTTCAGGCGGGAGCCACTGTGCCCGGCCTTGGTTGCCTGTTTAACCAGGATTCAAGTCACCTTTGAGGGACGGATGCATTGAATAAAATAGAAATTCTGTCAGCATATAAGTGATAATTGTAAACTGGGCCACGCAATCATTTTGCTATACTATCTTATAGGATTATTAGAAAACTAAATGCTATAACTCCTGTGAAATACTTAGTAATGATGATCATGGCACTTGCTGTGTGCAATACATTGTCCTTTACACATACAGCTTTACATGTACTGAAATCCTTACAAAAGCCCCATTGACTGTGTGTGTATTATTGTTGTTGTTTTTCTTTTTTAGAGATGAGGTCTCACTATGTTGCCCAGGCTGCAGTGCAGTGGTTACTCACAGGCACAATCATAGGGCATTGAAGCTTTGAACTCTGTATCAGTCCGTTTTCATGCTGCTGATGAAGATATAACTGAGACTGAGTAATTTATACAAGAAAAAGTTTAGTTTATTTGTTTGTTTGTTTTGAGAGGGAGTCTTGCTCTGTCACCAGGCTGGAGTGCAGTGGTGCGATCTCGGCTCACTGCAATCTCCACCTCCTGGGTTCAAGTGATTCTCCTGCCTCAGCCTCCCCAGTAGCCGGGATTACAGGCACGCGCCACCACACCCACCTGATTTTTTTGTATTTTTAGTAGAGACGGGGTTTCACCATGTTGGCCAGGATGGTCTTGATCTCCTGACCTTGTGATTCGCCCACCTCAGCCTCCCAAAGTGCTGGGGTTACAGGCGTGAGCCACCGCGCCCAGCCAGGAAAAAGGGTTTAATGAACTGACAGTTCCACATGGCTGAGGAGGCCTCCCAATCACGGTAGAAGGCGAGAAGGAGCAAATCACAGCTTTCGTGGATGGCAGCAGGCAAAGAGAGAGCTTTTGCAGGGAAACTCCCATGTTTAAAACCATCGGATCTCATGAGACTTATTCACTATCATAAGAACAGCACCGGAAAGACCTGTCCCTATGATTCAATCACCTCCCACTGGGTTCCTCCCACAACACATGGGAATTCAAGATGAGATTTAGGTGGGAACACAGCTAAACCAGATCATTCCACCCCTGGCCCCTCCCAAATCTCTTTTCCTCATATTTCAAAACCAATCATGTCTTCCCAATAGTCCCCCAAAGTCTTAAGTCATTTCAGTATTAACTCAAAAGTCCAGAGTTCAAAGTCTCATCTGAGACAAAGCAAGTCTCTTCTGCCTATAAGCCTGTAAAATCAAAAGCAAGTTAGTTACTTCCTAGGTACAATCGGGGTACAGGCATGGGGTAAATACAGCTGTTCCAAATGGGAGAAATTGGCCAAAGCAAAGGGGCTACAGGCCCCATGCAGTCTGAAATCCAGCAGGGCAGTCAAATCTTAAAGCTCCAAAATGATCTCCTTTGACTCCATGTCTCACATCCGGGTCACGCTGAGGCAAGAGGTAGGTTCCCAAGGTCTTGGACAGCTTCGCCCCTGTGACTTTGCAGGGGATAGCCTCCCTCCTGGCTGCTTTCACAGGCTGGCAATGAGTGCCTGTGGCTTTTCCAGGTACACAGTGCAAGCTGTTGGTGGACCTACCATTCTGGAGTCTGGAGGATGGTGGCCTTCTTCTCACAGCTCCACTAGGCAGTGCTCTAGTGGGTACTCTGTGTGTGGGCTCTGACCCTACATTTTTCTTCTGCACTGCCCTAGCAGAGGTTCTCCATGAAGGCCCTGCCCCTGCAGCAAACTTCTGCCTGGTCATCCGGGCATTTCCATACATCATCTGCAATCTAGGTGGAGGTTCCCAAACCCCAATTTGTGACTTCTGTGCACTTGCAGGCTCAACACCACATGGAAGCTGCCAAGGCTTGGGGCTTGCACCTTCTGAAGCCACAGCCCGAGCTCTATGTTGGCCCCTTTCAGCCATGGCTGGAGCAGCTGGGATGCAGGGCACCAAGTCCCTAAGCTGCACACAGCACAAGGACCCTGGGCCTGGCCCACAAAACCACTTTTTCCTCCTAGGCCTTTGGGTTTATGATGGGAGGGGCTGCCGTGAAGACCTCTGACATGCCTTGGAGATGTTTTCCCCATTGTCTTGGGGATTAATATTCAGCTCCTTGTTACTTATGCACATTTCTGCAGCCAGCTTGAATTTCTCCTCAGAAAATGGAATTTTCTTTTCTATCACATTGTCGGACTGCAAATTTTCCAGACTTTTATGCTCTGCTTCCCTTATAAAACTGAATACCTTTAACAGCACCCAAGTCACCTCTGGAATGCTTTGCTGCTTAGAAATTTCTTCTGCCAGATACCCTAAATCATTTCTTTCAAGTTAAAAGTTCCACAAATCTCTAGGGCAGGGGCAAAATGCCACCAGCCTTTTTGCTAAAACATAACGAGTCACTTTTGCTCCAGTTCCCAACAAGTTCCTCATCTCCATCTGAGACTACCTCAGCCTGGACTTTATTGTCCATATTCTATCAGCATTTTGGACAAAGCCATTCAACTAGTCTCTAAGAAGTTCCAAACTTTCCCATGTTTTCCTGTCTTCTGAGCCCTCCAAACTGTTTCAACCTCTGCCTGTTACCCAGTTCCAAAATAGCTTCCACATTTTTGGGTATCTTTTCAGCAGCACACCACTCTACTCGTACCAATTTACTGTATTAGTTCATTTTCACACTGCTGATAAAGACATACCAAAGACTGGGTAATTTATACAGCAAAAAAGGTTTAACGGACTTACAGTTCCACATGGCTGGGGAGCCGTCACAATCATGGCAGAAGGCAAGGAGGAGCAAGTCCCATCTTCCCTGGATGGTGGCAGGTGGAGAGAGAGCTTGTGCAGGGAAACTCATTTTTAAAAGCATCAGATTTCATGAGACTTATTCACTATCAGGAGAACAGCACAGAAAAGACCTGCTCCCATGATTCAATCAACTCCCACTGGGTTCCTCCCACAGCACATGGGAATTCAAGATGAGATTTGAGTGGGGACACAGTCAAACCATATCAAACTGCTTGGCTCAAATGATCCTCCTGCCTCAGTCCCCCCAGTAATTGGACTACAGATGTGCGCTGCCACACCAGTCTATGTTATTATCTTAGTTTTACAGATAAAAAAGCTGTGGCACAGACAGGTTTAGTAACTTGTCCAAGGTTTCAAGTTTGTAACTGGCTAAACTGTGGTTACAACCCTGACAATCTGCCTCTGGAAGCTACACACTTAACCCATGTTCTGGTCCTGGAGCAAATGTGCTTAACCATACTCCTGGTATTATAGTTTGAATTTGTCCCCTGAAAATTTCAGGTGTTGAAACTTAATGAGCAATGTCATCGTATTAAGAGGTAGGGCCTTTAAAGGGTGATTATGTCACAAGGGCTTCTCCCTCCTGAATGCAATTAGGCTCTTTTAAGGGAGGCTTCACACAGTGTTTTCTTGTCTTTTGAAGTTTGCTTGTCCTTTCACCTCATACTATGTGAGGACATGGTGCTCCTCTGAAGGATATGGCAACAAGGTGCCATCTTGGAAACAGAAAGCAGCCCTCACCAGACAACTGCACCTGCCAACACCTTGATCTTGAACTTCCTGAACTTCAAAATTAAACTTTTGTTCTTCAAAAATTACCCATTCTGTGGTGTTCTGTTATAGCAGCACAAATGAACTAAGACACCTGGCAGTTAGTAAGTACTCGGCCCCTGTTAGCTGTTATTATAATCTCTGATGGTCTATGTTTCTCAGGCAATGTTTACAAGATCTTTCTTCTTTTTCTCTCTGTCCTCTGAAGACATGGAAAGACATTCACATCAAAAAAAAAAGTGGGCTGGGTTCGTGGCTCACATATGTAATTGCAGAATTTGAGAAGCTGAGGTAGGAGGACTGATTGACGCCAAAGTCAAGACCAGCCTGGGCAACATAGGGAGACCCCTCTCTACAAAAAATAAAAAAAATTAGCCAGGCATGGGGGTATGTGCCTGTGGTCCGAGCTACTCAGGAGTCTGAGATGGGAGAATCGTCACAATTCACTTAGACAGAACCTGCCTTGTCACTGAAGCACTTAAGTTGATGACCTCTGGGCTACATCATCCCAGTTTTAAATTTTTTCTCACAGATCTTAATTAATCTGCTGGAGCCCAGGAGGTTGAAGCTGTAGTGAGCCATGATCACACTATTGCACTCCAGTCTTAGGGAACAGAGAGAGACCCTATCTCTAAAGAAAAAATTAAATTAAATTAAATAATTAAATGATAAAAAGTAATATAAAGGGTTTGAATATAAATTTAATAGAAGTGTTTTTTTTTTTTTTTTTGGAGACAGAGTCTCACTTTGTTGCACAGGCTGGAGTGCAGTGATGCGATCTTGACTCACTGCAACCTCTGTCTCCCTGGTTTAAGTGATTCTCATGCCTCAGCCTCCCGAGTAGCTGGGATTACAGGTGCAGGCCGCCACAGCCAGCTAATTTTTGAATTTTTGGTAGAAACAGGATTTTGCCATGTTGTCCAGGCTTGTCTATATCATAAGCTATTAATGGGCCATAACATCTATTTAGTGAGTCATGACCAACATTTACAAAATAAAATATAACATCATAGAATGGGGTACAATAGTGGGACTGAATAAAAAACATCAGGGTACACCCAGGTAATGAAATAAGTTTCATCTTTTGAAATTTTTGTTTCAATTATATGTGTACATTTGTATATGTATTCTAGCTTGCCAAGTAAAATGCAGTGGTGGTCAAAAAAGTTTGAAAAATATGCTCTAAAATCTTGCTGCTCAAATTGTGAACCAGCAGCATCATGTCTGGGAGCTGCTTGGACAATGCTAATCTCAGGCTTCACCCAGACCGGCTTGAGTAAGAAACTGCATTTGACAAAATCCTCAGATGATTTTCCTTTGCATACTGAAGGTAGGGCTGGTCATTGTCTGTTAATTCCACGTGCCCCCATGGGGTGTTCTCCAGGTGTTGGGTGAAGAGGAGAAGTGACCATAGGTGGAAAATGATGCCCTGGTGATCCGTCTGATCCTCAGGCTCCTTTAGGATGACTTCACTAAAGGAAAATTCTGAGAACATGGCTCATTGGCTCACTGACTTCCTTTTTTCTTCTTTCCTTTTCTGTCCTGAAAATGATTTTTTTTTTCTGATCTCTCTCTCTCTCTTTCTCAACACACACACACACACACACACACACACACACACACACACACACACACATTTCCAGCTTTTGAAAAAAGTTGGAAAATCCAGTAACACAAGCTGATGTTTCCAGAGGGCACCAATCAGCTGGAGCTGAGTAGCCCCTGTGTACATTGGACAGAGCCCAAATCCCCTGTTCTACCCCCTGCACACAATTCACTTAGACAGAACCTATCTCGTCATTGAAGGCACTTAAGTTGGTGACCTCTGGGCTACATCATCCCAGTTTTAAACTTTTTCCTCATAGATCTTCATTAATCTGCAGTAATTAGATCCTCTTTGGATTTTCCTACTCAAAATGATTTGTTTTTTAAATTAAACTTCTCTGTAGTCCCCCCAGCTACTCAGGAGGCTGAGGCAGGAGGATTGCTCTAACCTAGGAATTCGAGGCTGTAGTGCACTATGATCATGCCTGTGAATAGCCACTGCATTCTAACCTGGGCAACATAGGAAGATCTTATCTGTAACAAAACAAAACAAACAGGTGCACTTGGTCTTGCAAGTCGTCTGCTTGGCCTTCTTCCAAGTGTACTTTCCTTCCTTTCATTACTGCTCTAAAGATTTTAATAAACTTTCATTCCTGCTCCGAAACTTACCTTGGTCTCCTTCTGCCTTATGCTCCTTAGTCAAATTCTTTCTTCTGAGGAGGCAAGAATTGAGGTTGCTGCAGATCCATATGGATAACTACCACTGGTAACATATTTGATGCCATGTGACTCTGGCACATTTTAGCGTTGTGATCTAGTACATTTCCTTCTTGCCTAAGCCACTTTGAGTCTTGCCTTCAGTTGCTTGCAGCCAGAAACATCCTCCTTACATAAAAAGTGGTTAAGAGATCTCTATGCCTCGCCTTCTTCACCTGGAGGCATCCGACCCCCATGTGCGGATTTTCTTCTTTTTCTCTCTCTCTCTTCTGCCTACTAACCAATCCCCAGGACAATTCCTCTTGGCCTTAAGTGACTCTGCTCCCCCTCGCTGATTTCTCAGTACACCCTGACAGGTGGCTCATGGGGGTGGGAAGGACTTTAGGGTCTGCACTGAGTAGATCTGAGGCACTAATGGCCCTCTTGGACAGGGTTAAAGCCTAAACTGTGCAATGTCTGGGGCTTCCTCTGCTTTTTCAACTAAAATCCGCTCTTTCCCAAAAACCTGCACCACCCATTCTCTTTTCTCTGTTTGTGTTCAAAATTTATTTAAAAACACACACATATGGCCAGGCGCGGTGGCTCACACCTGTAATCTCAGCACTTTGGCAGGCCAAGGTGGGCAGATCACCTGAGGTCAGGAGTTTGAGACCAGCCTGACCAATATGTTGAAACCCTGTCTCCACTAAAAATACAAAAATTAGCCGGGCATGGTGGCAGGCACCTGTAGTCCCAGCTACTCAGGAAGCTGAGACAGGAGAATTGCTTGAACCCAGGAGGTGGAGGTAGCAGTGAGCCGAGATAATGCCACTGTCCTCCAGCCTTGGTGAGAGAGCAAGACTCTGTCTCAAACAAACAAACAAACAAACAAACAAAAAACCATACATACACACAGAAGAAAACAAACAAACACCTTCTGACCCTTGGGTCAACAAGCGTTTAGCTAAAGTGTATTATTCCAACTATAACAAAAATATATCCCCCTCGGCCTCCTGTCATTTGTAATTGGCTTCCATTTATTACATTGTGAGCTCCCATTCTGCTTCTAAGGCCTTTTTTTTCAGTGATCTTACAATCATTTCTCAACTCCTTTTAGTGGAGTTTTGATCTTCTTACATATACTCCCTTGCAGTGTCTCCTCAAATGTTCATCCTGTTGTTCCATTTAGTCTATCAGAGACCTTAGTTTGTTGATCCGAGAGGATAAATTAATGTACGTTCCAGTTTAATGTGCTCCAGAGTAAAGTGCCTCAGGCTATGAGATGGACTAGCAATTAGCAGAGACATAATACTTGAGAGGACGTACAAATGTCTTTACAAAGAAGGCATTTGGGGTCGAATTGGGTCAGGTGCAGATACAAAGAGTGACAAGGTCTGAGTGTTCTCCTGTGAATAATAATTATCTCGTTGTGATGGGCTTAGCCTTCCCTTCTATCAGAAGGATGTTTCTGGCTGCAAGTAATTAAAGGCCAGACTCAAAGTGGCTTCCGCAATGAAGGAAATTTATTAGCTCACAAAGCTAAAAAGTGCAAGAGGCAGTCAGGTTTCAGGTATAATCAGATCAGGGCTCCAGCTTGACTTCTATTTTGAGTCTCTCAACTCTGCTCCTGTCTGTGTCTGCTTCATTTATATCCTGGCTTTTTTCACAGTAAATAACAGCTGAGGTAACTTGACATACAACGATTTCCAGAGGAAGAGAGAACATCTGTCCTGACAACTGTTTGGCAAGAGCAAGAAAATTTCCCAGAAATCCTCCCCAAATTATTCTTGTATCCCTCTGGCGAGTATTGGGTCATTTGCCCATCCTCAAACTATTCATGGTGGCCAAGGTGATAAGATTAAGCTAACCAAGGCTCACTGTTTATTAGCTCATACATACCTCAAGGCTAAAAGTTGTGGAGTAGGGAACACTATTACCATGAAGGAGGGGTACAAAGTTGGACAGAGACACCTATGTTAGAACTTATGCAATCAGGAAGAACCTTCATTAATTTTGATAATCCTCTCAGTTGCTATTTCACGTACAGAAACAAATACTTTTAGGGTTGCCCTTCCCTTTTCTTCACAAGGATGATTTTTTTTTTTTGAGATGGAGTTTTGTTCTTGCTGTGCAGGCTGGAGTGCAATGGTGCAATCTTGGTTCATCACAACCTCTGCCTCCTGGGTTCAAGCGATTCTCCTGCCTCAACCTCCCGAGTAGCTGGGATTACAGGTGTGCACCATCATGCCCAACTAACTTTTTATTTTTAGTAGAGATGGGGTTTCACCATGTTGGTCAGGCTGGTCTCGAACTCCTGACCTCAAGTGATCCACTTGCCTCAGCCTCCCAAAGTGCTGGGATGACAGGTGTGAGCCACCACGCCTGGCCAAAGGTGAAATTTTAATAGTAAAAGGAGAAGATAAGCAGCACTGGTAACACCAGCATCCCCACTTTCTTGTCTTTATCAGCTTGGGCTGTCATTACAAAACACCATAGACTAGTTGGCTTAAGCAACATGAATTTATTTTCTTCCAGTTCTGGAGGCTGGGAAGTTCTAGATCAAGGTGCAGGCTGTTTCCACAGGAGGCCTACGTGCTGCCACTGTGCTGCTGCCATGTCTCTAGTGATCCCTGAAAAGTTCCAGCGTATTTTGAGAGTATTCAAAACCAACATTGATGAGTGGTGTAAAATAACCTTTGCCATCACTGCCATTAAGGGTGTGGGTCAAAGATATGCTCATGTGGTGTTGAGGAAAGCAGACATCGACCTCACCAGCAGGGTGGGAGAACTCACTGAGGATGAGGTAGAATGTGTGATCACCATGATGCAGAATCCACACCAGTACAAGATCCCAGGCTGGTTCTTGAACAGACAGAAGGATGTAAAGGATGGAAAATATAGCCAGGCCCTAGCCAATGGTCTGGACAACAAGCTCCATGAAGACCTGGAGTGACCCAAGAAGATTTGGGCCCAAAGAGGGCTGTGCCACTTCTGGGGCCTTCATGTCCGAGGCCAGTACACTAAGACCACTTGTTACCGTGGCTGTACTGTGGGTGTGTCCAAGAAGAAATAAGTCTGTAGGCCTTGTCTGTTAATAGTTTATATACCTTAAAACAAACAAACAAAACAAAACAAAAAACGGTGCAGGCTGACTCAGTTCCCCAGTGAGGGCCCTCTTCCTGCCTTGCAGACTGCCACTTTCTTGGTGTGTCCTCACGTGACAGAGAGGCCAGATTTCCTTCTCTTTCTTCCTCTTTTTTTTTTTTTTTTTTTTTTTTTGAGATTGAGTCTCACTCTGTCACCCAGGCTAGAGTGCAGTGGCACTATCTCAGCTCACTGCAACCTCTGCCTCCTGGGTTCAAGCAATTCTCCTGCCCCAGCCTCCTGAGTAGCAGGGATTACAGGCATGTGCCACCACATCCGGCTAATATTTTTGTATTTTTAGTAGAGACAGGGTTTCACCATGTTGGCCAAGCTGGTCTCAAACTCCTGACATCAGGTGATCCACCTGCCTTGGCCTGCCTAAAGTGCTGGGATTACAGGCGTGAGCCACTGTGCCCAGCCTCTCTTCCTCTTTTTAATAAAGCCATAGTCCTATCAGATTAGGGCCTTACCCTATGAACTCATTTAACTGTAATTATCTCCTAAAGATTCTCTCTCCAGATACAATCACATTGTGGGTTAAGGCTTCAATATATAAATCTCGGGGGGACATAATTCAGTTGATATCAGTAACCGAAGTTACTGCCCAAGTATTTTTTGAGCATCTGTCTTAATCATTGCCCAAGTATTTTTTGAGCATCTGTTTTGTACTCAGCTTGATCCATGCATTGTGAGAGCTGAAGGGTTGGGTGGGAAGAAGTACAAAAGAAGTAACTAATATAGTTCCTGTTTTCAGGAGCTTATTGTCTTTTTGGGGAGGTAAGACCAATAGGTTGTAAATAAGAACAAATGCTGTGAGGTAGAGTGAATGCTGAGGGCACTCCAGAGTGACAGGAATCAATAAGGGTTGGAAGGGGCCAGGAAACTTTTATGTATTTATTTATTGAGATGGGGTCTTGCTTTGTTACCCAGGCTGTATTTTTTCATTTTATTTTGTTTTTTAACACAGTGTCTCGCTCCATCACCCAGACTGGAGTGCAGTGGCATGATCTTGGCTCACTGCAACCTCTGCCTCCTGGGTTCAAGTAATTCTCCTGCCTCAGCCTCCTGAGTAGCTGGGATTACAGGTGCATGCCACCATGCCCAGCTAATATTTGTATTTTTAGTAGAGGCAGGGTTTCACCATGTTGGCCAGTCTGGTCTCGAACTCCTGACCTCAAGTGATCTGCTGGCCTTGGCCTCCCAAAGTACTGGGATTTCGGGCATGAGCCACTGCGCCCGGCCCCAGGCTGGTTTTGAACCAGGCTCAAGTGATCCTCCTGCCTCTACCTCCCAAAGTGCTGAGATTATAGGCATGAGTCACCAGTGGCCGGCTGATCAAAAAAACTTCATGGAGGAGTTTGACACTTATTCTGGGTTTTTAGAATGGTTGGAAGGGAGTAAGGAGTGTGTGACAGGACAGAAACCTAGACCAAGAGAGTAGCAATGGTAATGGAGGGAAACGGGCCAAATACCATCTTGTTCTCACAGAAAACGGACTTTCTAATTGAGGCAGTGGAGTGAACGGGTGAAGAGAGTGGTTCCTTTAACAAAAATCAGAAATTCCAGGAGGGAAAGTATAGGGATGTGGTTAGATATATGAGGAAGGATGAGGAGTTCATTTTAGAAATATTTATTTTGAGAAACTGGAGAATTTACCAAGTAAAATAACTGTAATGATGTTAATAATAAGGGTAAAGAGATGAGTGAAAGTCGGACTGATGACAATAGATGTTTAAATCGTCACAGGGTTGATAATTTAAGCTGAGGGAATGAATGATCTTTTTGAGAAAATATGAAGAGTGATGTATGTAAGAAAAGACCTTAGAAACCATCACCATCACCAAGAAGGATCTAGCAATAGTTAATGGCGTAATAGCAGGAAACTATTGAAAATATAATGGATCCAGTTCTAATTTTCTCAGTTTATACATAGCATTTAGTGCTAAGTAAAATAAATGTTTGTTGATTGACTTGATAATTGAAAGAATGTTAGAAGTTTAAAATTCAAAAAGCCTAATGTGCATTAGGGATTTAAAGAAAAAAATATATACATACTATGTTATATATAAGTGTGTGTCTGCGTATATTTTAAATTTAGAGATGGGATTTTGCCATGTTGCCCAGGCTGTGAACTGCTGGGTTGCTTTTTCATTTGCTTGTTTGTTTTTTTTTTCAGGGATGTTTTGAAGTCAAACCAGTTTTTCCACTTCCGTTTAATTAAGTGTTTTGAGCATTATTTATTATTCATAACACTGAAGAAATGAAAAGCTGAAGAGATTCTCCCATCACATGAAAGGATTAATTAGTTCAGTTTTCAGAGGCGTCATCTGACCGTCAGACAGTCCAGGTACATTCACTGAGGCATTTCCAGTGGGCAAGGAGCCTGGGAGAGCACTGCGCTGCGACCTAGTTTTCCCTTTGGAATCAGGTCCTCTCTCCTGCGTTTACATTGGCCTCTCCCACCCCTTGGCAGGTCCACTCCCATTGACCTTTCTCTCTGTACCAGCAGCTGCTGCTGACAGTCCAGCCGTAGTTACTTCTGTGAAAACAGTGTGTAGTGGTCTGCCTTTAAATTTCCTATTCCCATCTGGACCTCCCTTAGGAGCTCAATGCTGCTCACAGTTGAACCTGAAATTCCAGGTCTTCTAATCTCTTCTCTCCAACTGGCAATATTTACCACTCTGATGTCTAGTTCTTGTGGAGTCTTGTTGTGGGATGCATGAATTTTATGCTAATGGGGTATTTCTGAAGACAAAGCCTTGGGTCAGATAAAAGGTTAATTGATATGTGTAGTGTGACAGTAAAATGCAAGGACTTTAAATTCCGACAATCCTGGATGTGGATTAGTTTTAATTTGACAGCTGTGTGATTTGAGACAGTTGCTCAATCTTTTTGTGAACGTTGTTTCCCCAACTAAAAAAAATAGACAAAATACTAATCTTTGAAAGTTGTTGTAAGGATTAATAAGATAATGTACATAAGGAGACCTTGCACAATACCTGGCATATTGTAAGAGCTTGATAGGACAATATTTATATGACATACCAAGAAAATATGTGTGCCATTTTCCACTTCCCAAATCACTTTACATGGGTTTAGAAAGGAGATTAAGAAAGACAAACATACAAACTTTTCCCTAATTTCAGAATATATGCTCCAAGTACTACCTGGTTAGAGCTTTTTGATTCCTATGATGTTATTTTGTAAGCTAGTGCTTCACAGTGCTAAAGAATAGTACCTTAGAGAACTTAATGCATTAATCGATTTTCCTTAAATTGGAACTTTTTTTTCTCCTTTATTGAATCAAGAAAGTTAAGTGTCAAAGAGGCATGTAGATTATACTCTAAGGTAACAAAACTCTATTACGTTGTATTTCATTAGAGCTGAACCAAGGGCATTTTGGAAAGAAATCGTGCTGTGTAATAAGAGGGATTGTTAGCAGAGACTTTTTGCTACCATTTTCTCCAAGCTTTTCCATTCTGTACTTGAGTAGCATTGTCCCAAATAGAAATATCCCAGGATCCCTTTTTCCTCTTGAAAGACTCTAACATTAAGACTAAATTGGAGATTACCATGGAAGTAAATGACATTAAGGTGAACAGACAAATATTCAACCTCCCTTAGAAGGAATGTTTCTGCTTACCTTATGGTCTTCCTGTTTCCCTCCCTTCATTATGTAAGCCAGAGTCAGCAGTACCTTTACCATAAATAAGCAGGCAAGTGGCTTTGCAGTGGCTCCTGAGTACCAGCCAACTCTTATACCAACTAAGACTCAAATGCTCTTTCTACAAATTAGTTTCCTAAGCTTTGTGTACACACACACACACACACACACACACACACACACACACACACACACATACATAAGTTATAATGTATAATCAAATATATTTCTGGCCAGGTGTGGTGGCTCATACCTATAATCCCAGCACTTTGGGAGGCAGAGGCAGGCAAATCACTTGAGGCCAGGAATTCAAGACCAGCCTGGCCAACATGGCGAAATCCTCTCTACTAAAAATACAGAAAATTGGCCTGGTGCAGTGGCTCACGCCTGTAATCCCAGCACTTCAGGAGGCAGAGGCAGGTGGATCACCTGAGGTCAGGAGTTCGAGACCAGTCGGGCCAACATGGTGAAACCCTGTCTCTACTAAAAACACAAAAATTAGCCAGGCATGGTGGTAGGTGCCTGTAATCCCAGCTACTCGGGAGGCTGAGGCAGGAGAATCGCTTGAATTCGGGAGGCGGAGGTGGCAGTGAGCCAAGATCGTGCCACTGCACTCCTCCCTGGGTGATAGAATGAGACTCCATCTCGAAAAAAAAAAAAAACAAAAACAAAACAAAAAAAATCCCAGAAAACTAGCCCGGTGTGGTGGGCCATGCCTGTAGTTCCAGCTACTTGGGAGGCTGAGGCAGGAGAATTGCATGAACATAGGAGGCTGAGGTTGCAGTGAGCTGAAATCCTGACACTGCACTACAGTCTGGGTGACAGAGTAAGACGCTGTCTCAAAAAAAAAAAAAAAAAACAGAAAAAAGAAAAATCAAATACATTTCCTAATACATAATTATGTAGTAGTAAATACATAATTATTTACTAATAATTTCCTGGAGATTTTTAAATTTATATCTTGGCTTATACATTAAAATTACTTAACACTAGGCAAAAATACATATCTTCATGCTGGAATTAGGAATATTTTAGTTACCTTAAGTGGAATTATAATGAGATAACCAAACCAACCCCAAATTACATAGTATGTGGCATTATAAAAGAAAGATCTCTCCTGAATTTCATTTCCATTGAAAAGACATAGAATATTTGGCTAGAAGAAATTTCAGAAGTCATGGAAAACTTTCACTTGTCTTGAGAGGAATGAAGAAACTAACATCCAGGGAGTTTACTGATGGGTGCCTTGCATTGTGATTGGTTGGCTATAAGAAGACTGGGAGTTAGAATAAAAAAAAATTTATTAAACAAATTATTAAAAAAAAAATAGAGCTGGGGTCTTGCTATGTTTCCCAGGCAGGTCTCGGACTCCTGAGCTCAAGCGATCCTACCACCTCAGCCTCCCAGAGTGCTGGGGTTACAGGCGTGAACCACCAAACCTGGCTAAGGATTATTAATTCTTAGTTCAGTATACTTCCCAGAACACTGTGGTCACTGGATAATTTTGTGGCTAGCCTTGAAAGAATGTGGTGAGCTTCAGCTGTTTTGAAATTTGGTAGTGGCCTACATAGTAGCACAAATTATTTCCTAGAGTAAAATGAAATTGTGTAAGTTCTTGTTTTAATTTTTAATTTATTTTTGTTTCTTTTTTTACTTTTTTATTACTTATTTTATTAAAATTTTTTATTATTTTTTGTCTTAACATTTTTTAATTTTTTAATTTTAATTTTTTATTCTATTCATTATTTTTTACTTTTAAATTAAATTTAATTAATTAATTATTATTTTTAAGCCAGTGCCTTGTCCATTAGGTGACTGGAGTTAAATTGTGCAAGTTTTAAACTGCAATATTGGTTAAAATCTAGGGAAATTATAAATGTTACAATAATATGAAATCTTAAAGCCTGGATACAAGGCTATCGTATTTTAACTCCATTATATCAGGCAGTCTAAGTAGAAAGATATTGCTGGAAGGGTCTCAAAAGATTTTTGTTTTGTAGGTTAGGAAACAGGAAATGGGGCCCCCAGAGAACTTAAATCACTTGTTCAAGTTCATTGGGCCGCTTAGGGGATGTGGACCAGAATTTACATTTCTTTATTTCTTTCTTTCTTAAATTTTAGACCCAGGGGGTATATGTGCAGGTTTGTTACAGGAGTACATTGCATGTTACTGAGGTTTGGGCTTCTATTGATCTCATTACCCAAAAGAAAACATAGCACCCAATAGGTGGTTTTTCAACCCTTCCTGCACTCACCTTTTGGAGTCCCCAGAGTCTGTTATTGCTATCTTTATGTCCTTTGTACCCAGTGTTTAACTCCCACCTATAAGTGAGAACATGCAGTGTTCGCTTTTCTCTTTCTGTGTTAATTCAGTTAGTATAAAGGCCTCCAACTGCGTTCATGTTGCTACAAAGGACACAATTTAATTCTTTTTTACGGCTGCACAGTATTCCATGGTGTAGATGTACCAGATTTTCTTTATCCAATTTGCCATTGATGGGCACCTAAGTTGGTACCATGTCTTTGCTATTGTGAATAGTGCTGTAATAAACATGTGAGTGCAGGTGTCTTTTTGGTAGAGTGATTTCTTTCCCTTTGGGTATATATGCAGCAATAGGATTGTTGGGTTGAATGGCAATTCTATTTTCAGTTCTTTGAGAAATCTCCGATCTGCTTTCCATAGTGGCTGAACTAATTTACATTCCCACCAACAGTGTATAAGTGTTTCCTTGGCTCTGCAACCTCGCCAGCATCTGTTATTTTTTGACTTTCTAATAATAGCCTTTCTGCCTGACGTGAGATGATATCTCACTGTGGTTTTTTTTTTCTTTCCACAACAAAAGCCACATTCAATCTCATTGTGGTTTTGTTTTTCATTTCTCTGATGATTAATGACACAGAACTCAGGTTATTTATCTCCCATTTTGAGTACTCACCCACCACAGTACCAGCGTCTAGAAAAAAAATAGTTTCCTTTAATCTCTATTGATTTTACAGTTCAGGATTGAATCTGCTCTATAAAGTTAGGAATAGCTAACTATATTTACTCTAAACAGGAAGCTCTTCCCTATGGGTACTACACTGTTATCATGTTTTATTTTGGGGAGAGAAGGAGAATGTTATGGGTTGAATTATATCCTCCAAAAAGAAATATTGAAGCCCTAACCCCTAATACCTCAGAATGTGGCCGTATTTGGAAACAGAGTCATTGTAGGTGTGATTAGTTGATACGAAGTCATGCTACAGTAGGGTAGGCCCTTAATCCAATATGACTGATATTCTAAAAAAAGAAAGAGACACAGGGAGAAGAATGCCACATGGAGAGAAGGAGATACACAGGGAGAAGATGGCCCTAAAACAGTGGAGGCAGATTTTGGAGTGATGCATCTACAAACCAAGAGATGCCAAGGATTGCCAGCTGTTAGTCCATCCACTTTGTGTTGCTGTAAAGGAATGTTGGCTGGGAATGGAAGCTCATGACTGTAATCACAGCACTCTGGGAGGCCGAGGTGAGAGGATTGCTTGAGGGCAGGAGTTCAAGGCCTGCCTGAACAGCATAGTGAGACCCTGTTCCTAAAAAAAAAAAAAAAAAAAAAAAATAGCTGGGTATGGTGGCACACACCTGGAGTTTCAGCTACTTGGAAGGCTGAGGCAGGAGGATCAGTTGAGCTCAGGAGATTGAGTCTGCAGTGCTGCAGTGAGTGAGCTATGATTGTGCCAGTGCACTCCAGCCTGGGCGACAGAGCCAGACTCTGTATTTTTAAAAAAGAAATAAAGTAAAGAAAGAAAAAAAAATAAAAAAGGAATACCCAAGGCTGGGTAATTTACAAAGAAAAGAGGTTTATTTGGCTCATGGTTCTGCAGGCTGTACAAAAGGCATGGAACCAGCATCTGTTTCTGATAAGGGCCTCAGGAAGCTTTCAATCATAGTGGAAGGCAAATGGCAAGCATGGTGAGAGAAGGAGCAAGAAAGTGATGGGAGAGGGAGGTGCCAGACTCTTTTTATCAACCAGATCTCCCATGGACTAATAGAGTGAAAACTCACTTATTACGCTGGGAAAGGCACCAAGCCATTCTTGAGGGATCTGCCTCCATGACCCAAACACCTCCGGTCAGGTTCTGCTTCTAACACTAACACATTTCAGCATGAGATTTGCAGGGGACGAACATCCAAACTATAACATCAGCCATCACCGGAAGCTAGGAGAAACAAGCAAATATTTTTTCCCTACAGGATTCAGAGGAATTATGGTCCTGCCAATACCTTGTTTTTGCAACCTCTAGTCTCCAGAACTGTGGGAGAATAAATTTCTATTTTTCTAAGCTTTGTGGTTATTTGTTATAGCAGCCACAGGAAACTAACCTAGGGAGCAAGTCAATGAGAGAATTTATCAGGATTTTCCTGATCAGTCTGCTGATCAGTTTGCTCAAGACTCATGAAAGCTCACCAGCCTGGGGCATTTGTCTGTGGCTTCCCTTACACAGCATGGATTCCTATGGCTTTTCCTCACAAAAGATTTTCTAGAATTGGCTTTCCAAATGGGAGGAAGAATGGTGAAAGAGAGGGAACATAACATTTTCTCCTCTGCTTTTGTATTTGGAATTGACAAACTGGAGAAGAAAGCATGTATGATTTTATTGCCGTAGGTTCTGTATATGCTTTTATAGGCTACCAGCATACTATTAGTTTGCATGATGCGTGTGCTGTTATCTTAGTTTCCTGCTATTTTCCTTTTATTCTAACCATCTTAATACTATGCTTTGGGATTCAGACCTGTCAAGCTGTCTGGATTATAAAAGTGTGCCTTGCACTAGAAGGTGGAAATGTGGAATTTCCCTAAAAAAAAGCAAAAAAAAAAAAAAAAAAAGCAAATAAACCAGATCCTGACTGCTTATTCTAACAATTTGCCTTTCTCTTATTAAGTTGTAAATTAATTTGACAAAAATTACCTAATAAGTATAAATTCCTATATTCTATAAGAATCAAACAGCTTTTCCTTTGGCAAAAATTCACATTATCTAAAATAATTACTGCATAATACTTTGACTATCATTAGTTTTATCATCACTGTTAGATCTATGAGTTGGTGAACTTTGTTTGTTGCCCAGGCTGGAGTGCAGTGGCATGATCATTGCTCACTGCAGCCTCCACCTCCTGGGGCTCAGGTGATTCTCCCACCTCAGAATCCCAGGTAGCTGGGACCACAGTTCCCGGCTAATTTTTGTATTTTTGGTAGAGACAGAGTTTCTGCGTGTTGCCCAGGGTGGTCTTGAACTCCTGGGCTCAAGCAATCCTTTCTCCTCAGCCTCTTAAAATGTTGGGATTACAGGTGTGAGCCACTGCAGCCATGAGTTGGTGAAATTAACATCATTTTATAAGGTCAAAAATTAAGAGAGTAAACTGGGCACAGTGGCTCATGCCTGTAATCCCAGCACTTTGGGAGGCCGAGGTGGACGGATCACCTGAGGTCAGGAGTTCGAGACCAGCCTGACCAACATGGTGAAACCCCGTCTCTACTGAAAATACAAAAATTAGCCATGCGTGGTGGCTGGCACCTGTAGTCCCAGCTAACAGGAGGCTGAGGCAGGAGAATTGCTTGAACCTGGGAGGCAGAGGTTGCAGTGAGCCAAGATTGCGCCACTGCACTCCAGCCTGGGTGACAGAGCGAGACTCTGTCAAAAAAAAAAAAAAAAAAAATTAAGAGAGTACATTTTAATCTCTCATTTCCTTCTATTCACTGGTAAGACTGTTTTATGTAACTAGTAAACAGACTTCTAAATTGTACAAAGTTATGTTCTAACTTACTGTCTTATTAACTTCCCCAGAGACCTACCAATGCCAGAAGTAGTAATTATTATTTGGACAGGAAATTGATGTGAGAACTTATCTAGGTCTTGAATTCAGAAGTAGCAAAAAATCATTTCTAGTTAGAATTAGCTATGCTGTATTAGAGATTTGTAATATAAACATCGTAAACATTTGTTTTCTTGAATTACCTTAGGATAAATATTTTTGACATGTAAATGCTAGAAACTATTCCAAAGCAACTTTATTGCTTTTTTGCTATGTCAAGATATACTATCTTGATATCATATATTTAAGTTGGTATTGCGAAGGTGGTTCAAAAAATTTTTTTTCCTTATATGTTTAACTTTATGCTGTCTAACAGTCAAATAGAGTGATACTGGTTCCATTTCCAGGTAGACATACCTTTGGATTTTCAAACCACTAGTTGTCTTGGATTTGCAGTGATCCTTCCATATTCATTCATTTATTTCATTTCCCCATTATTTTTCTGTTATTTTTTGTTAAAATATTGCAGATTATATTTCTCAAAAGTCAAAATAAACTATATTAATAAAGTTTTTGTCTAGTTGGAAACATTTGTCTCCCTTCTGTATTGACTTTGATATCAAAAAATGAAGAGGTAGAATTATGTCATTATTTTGTAATGGAAGTTTTGAGAAATGTTGATTACTGACATAAAAATTCCAAAGGTAAGGCTGGGCGCAGTGGCTCACGCTTTTAATCCCAGCACTTTGGGAGGCCGAGGTGGGCAGATCACCTGAGGTCAGGAATTTGAAACCAGCCTGGCCAACATGGCGAAAACCTGTGTCTACTAAAAATCCAAAAATTAGCCAGGCGTGGTGTTGCGCACTTCTAATCTCAGCTACTCGGAGGCTGAGGCAGGAGAATCACTTGAACCCAGGAGGCAGAGGTTGCAGTGAGCCGAGATTGTGCCACTGCACTCCAGCCTGGTCAACAGAGTGAGACTCTGTCTCAAAAAAAAAAAAAAAAAAAAAAAAAATTCTGAAGGTATAACTGCCTACTATTTCAGTAGTTACGAAGTTCTATCTCAAAAATGTCACCTGGGTCATGTGGGTCAGTGTTCTAGGGTAGATCTTGATAGTCGATTTTTCTAATGAGCTTCTGCGGGATGCCATTGCTGCTGGTTTAGACATCACTTGAAATAGCAAGACTGTAGTAATCACTTTGTCCTTTCTGGAAACAGAACTCTTTCTATTGAGAAACCCATTTTAAGTGGTATAAAATATGACCCAGGTATTGGCCAATCACAATCTCTCTTAAGAAGTGATTTTGGCACCAGGTGCAGTGGCTCATGCCTGTAATCTTAACACTTTGGGAGGCCAGGAGGGAAGATTGCTTGAGGCCAGGGGTTCAGGACCAGCCTGAGCAACATGGCAAAACCCCATCTCTACCAAAAATACAAAAATTAGCTGGTGTGGTGGCACATGCCTGTAGTCCCAGCTACTTGGGAGGCTGAGGTGGGAGGATGGTTTGAGCCTGTGAGATGGTGGAGGTTGCAATGAGCAGAGATCGCACCATTTTCCTCCAGCCTGGGTGACAGAGCCAGACCTTGACTCCAAAAAAAAAAGGTGATTTGGGACTCTAGGTGGTATGTCATCCTTCAACTATAAAAGGGGTCATCTTTCCTGGTCCATCTAACATGAAAAAGTAAGGCTAATATGAAAGAATAAGGCCAATATAAAAAAGGGTAAGATGAAGCACTAAAAGAGTATGTCCTCGGGGCATTATTTGGATTCCTGGATTCAGATGTGTTTAATATATTTTATTCCTGGAATTACAAGTTAATATATTCAGTTTTTTCTTAAGCTAGTCTGAATTTCTCGCTATCCTACAACCAGAAGTCCTGATAAATATACCAAGTTCAGCCATTCAACAAATTATAACTAATGGCAATAGGACTTTGATCAAAGTGTAGTTGAGTTAATGCAAAAACAGAATATAATTAATGCTCTTATGTAACCTGAGGGACGTTGAACTCAACGTCTATAAGTATTCTAATACAGTCCTAGAAGCAATGTGGTGACTGTCCAATATAACTTATTTACAGCATTATCTTCTTACTTAAAAGATGTGTAACAACGCTTTGGGAGGCTGAAGGGGGAGGATCACCTGAGGCCAGGAGTTTGAGGCCAACCTGGGCAACAAAGCAAGACTCTTGTCTCTATAAAACACTAGCTGGGCATGGTGGCACATGCCTCTGGTGCTAGCTAATCTGGAGGCTGAGGCAGGAGGATAGAGACCCAGTCTTGAAAAAAAAAAAAAGATGTATAAGCTCATACCTCCAGTGGTGAAAATGACCTTGGGTAGCTACTTTTCCACTTTGTAGATAAGGAAATCAACTTGCATTTTGTTCAATGCTCCATCTAAACTTACTGAACCCAGAACCTAGGTCTACCCTTCTCATTCTACAACTCCCCTCTTCCACACTGTCATTGCTATTCCTTAATTTTTTTTTTTTTTTTTTTGAGACAGAGTCTTACTCTGTCACCCAGGCTGGAGTACAGTGGCATGATCTTGGCGCACTGCAGCCTCTGCCTCCCGGGTTCAAGTGATTCTTGTGCCTCAGCCTTCTGAGTAGCTGGGATTACAGGCACATGCCACCACGACCAGCTAATTTTTGTATTTTTAGTAGAGACGGGATTTTCCCATGTTGGCCAGGCTGATCTCGAACTCCTGACCTCAGGAGATTTGCCCACCTCGACCTCCAGAGGTGCTGGAATTATGCGCCTGGCTTGTTATTCCTTAATGTATTAAGACGTTACTATGTTATCACTGGCTTCTGGTTGAGTGAAAAGGATGCCAGTACTTCCTAAAATTAATTAGCTATAAATGTATACAAAATGTATATATTTGTATGTCTATGTCAGGCTCTGTGGCTCTTGCCTGTAATCCCAACACTTTGGGAGGCCAGCAGGATTGCTTGAGACCAGGAATTTGAGACCAGCCTGGGCAACATAGAGAGACACCAGCTCTACAAACATTTTAAAAAAATTAGCAGGCATAGTGGCACATGCTTGTAGTACCAGCTACTGGGGAGGCTGAAGTGGGAGGATCTCTTGAGCCTGGGAGGTCAAGGCTGTAGTGAGCTGTGATCTTATCACTGTACTCCAGACTGGGCAAAAGAGCAAGACCCTGTCTCAAAAAACAAAACAAAAAACCCAAAATGTATGTCTAGATGCCTCTTTGTAACATACCTTGCATGTGAATATATGTTTGGGAAGAAATATTGGAGAATCATATAGTAAGGCCCATATACAACTTGATAACTCATGCATTAATGTATAAACACTGAAGAAAAATTCTAAATGTGATTCCAAAAGTACTTCTAAGGTTATCAGACACTATAAAATTAAGATTCTTTTAAGACAAAGAATATTCACTGTTTTTAAAATTTAAAGAAATTTAGAAATATTCTTCAAAAATTAGAAATTAATGTAACTTTTAGGCCGGGCGTGGTGGTTTGTGCCTGTAATCCTAGCACTTTGGAGGCCAAGTAGGGTGGATCACTTGAGTCCAGGAGTTTGAGACCAGCCTGGGCAACATGGCAAAATCTCATCTCCACAAAAAACACAAAAATAAGCTGGGCATGGTGGGGCATGCCTGTAGTCTCAGCTACTTGGGGGTCTGAGGCAGGAGGATTGCTTGAACCTGGGAAGTCAAGGCTGAAGTGGGCCGAGATCCTGCCACTACACTGCAGCCTGGGTGACAAAGTGAGACACTCTCTTAAAAAAAAAAAAAACTATGTTATGTTTATGTACTCTTGAAATACTGGTAATTTGAACACAACACAGTGAGAAGGAATTGGTGCCTGAAAGTGAATTATTTTACCTGGTTAAGTTTGCTTCATATTTAAGATTGAAATTTAGAGTCTGGACATGGTGTCTCACGCCTGTAATCCCAGTGCTTTGTGAAGCCAAGTTGGGAGGATCGCTTGAGGCCCGAGTTTGAGATCAGCTTGGGTAACATAGTGAGACCACGACTACAAAAAAATTAGAAAATTAGGTGGGTGTGGTGGTGTGCACCTGTAGTCCTAGCTACTTCGGAGGTTGAGACAGGAGGACTACTTTAGCCTAGGAGTTGGTCAGTAATTTTCTTTAGTACAGACCTAGATACAATTCTTACCCAGAATGGCTTAAAATAGAGTTTAATAGTTTAATTTAATGTGTTTGCATGTATGGTGAGTTACTAATATGATCAAGATTCAAATAAATCTCCAAACAATTATACAAAACAGAAAAAAACAAAACACTTTATTTTCCACAAGGAAGAGCAATAGGAAAAATTAAATCATTTCCCACATATTGTTTTCTTAAAACAGAGCCTACAAGGACATATTCAGCACCAAATAAAAAAGGAAAAAAAGAGAAATTACAAACAGCCATAGAATATAATCTATAAAGCAAACATTTAATATTGCACTTTGTTTTGCTAACATTTTGGATTTTACTTTTCCTAATTGAAAAATCAGGAATCTATCTTGAATACTGGAATACAACTGTGAACCTCACATCTTATGTCAGGAATTGACCAATATTTTTAAAAAAGTAATGCCTCTAAAGAAATACATTTTAAAGGGGAAAATAAAACTTTATTTGATAAAGTTTTATACATTTAAAGTTTTATCACATTTTGTGATCCAGTGCCAATTATCAGAATATTGGTCATTCTTGCTTCATGTGTTATTTGTAAGAGTATATAATGACAAGTATTCCAATGCTATGCATATCAACAATTGTTCCCTAGTCAGTTAGACGTAAGAGAGAAAAGGGATTTTCTGACAATCCCCCTCAAACAAAAATAAAACCACCAAATGCCCTTTATGCCAAATATTCCATTAGCTTTTTTTGAGGGGGACATTCACAAAATGATTCAACAATAAAAAAATATTTCACCCCCATTTCCTTATTATCTAGTATTAGTTTGCTACGGGAGCCCAAACTCTTTAACCGAATCACTTAAAACGCGATTCATTTTTACACTGGGCTTTCTTCACCCTGTCAGCATTTGTCAAACATGAATTGTCTTCCATGTTTTCTTAAAGGCCACTTATGGAAAAGCCTATTTGTTTTGTATGAGCTTTAAGACAGTATTTAACCAGGTCAAGCACCAAGCCAGAGCTACTATTATTTTCAGCCACTTTATTAACTGTGGGGTTAAATGGCAGGATAGATGTAACACCCATTTTACACGTATGTTGCAACATCAGAGATGCTGGTTTTCTTTAAAAACATCAGAGCTGAATTCCTTCTAAAATACAACAACAACAACAACAACAAAATAAGTACACTTGGTACCTTGGAAAATGCTGAAATGCTATCATGAATGCTGGTATATTTGTTATGAGCCAACAGAAAATTACCTTTAATATAAACTATAACTTACTGATGTGATTGTTCTTCCTATGTAATCTATACATAATCAAAGTGAGTGATTTCTCATGTTTAGCAAATTGTTCTTTAGGTAATGAAAAACAGTATTCTCATTAGAAAAACACAAAAATCCAAAAGATTTATCGCAGCAAACGTTCTAGTATTTTAAATTTTGAAGTTACTTTTGGAATAAAGTCGAGTTTTCATGCCATACCAAGCTTGAGCAAGACAGCAAAGGTACAAATTGAGCTCTCTATTCATAACCTCAATGTATGTATTCCTGCTCATTAATATACTTTGCACCAGCAAAAGCGATTTCCAACATATGTGTTTTGGAGGTAATTAAGTAACTCTGTATAAAAATAAATGCACTTTTCCCTCCTTTCCCCAGTGAATGGAAAACTTCCATACTTTCAAAATAATAATAAAAAAAATAATTTTTAAGAGCAACAGCCCTCAACTCTTTGCTGGTGCCTGCCATACTGCCTTTCTTCACTCCATTCTTAGCTCTGCTAGTTTCTTCTTGTATGTCATGATAAAAAGGGAATGTGGGTGTGTAACTTTTGTGTATGTCCCGTTTCCAAATTTCCCTCTCCAAAAAGCCAACCAAATAAACAAACAAACAAACGAAAAAAACAGTGCAACAAAACACAAATAGCATTCCAACAGTTTGGCAAGTGATGCGTTCACCTGAGATTAAGTGATTTTAGGCAGTCAGTAACAAAATGCTGCTTTGCTGTAATAGTAGAAAGGCAACAAATTCTTAAAAGAAACCAAGAAGGTATACAATCTTGACAGTCTCTTATTAGCTTCCTCCTCTTATCTCTTTTTTTCCCACATTATCTGTTGCGTATCTACTACAGTAGGCTGCAAAACATACAGCAAAAAGGATTGGCTTGAAGGCATTTGATGTTTGTAAATAAATCCACAATTGGATCCAAGCTGAAGAGGTGATACATAGTCAGCCTAGTAGACAATTCTGAGCATGTGCATACGCAGGTAAAGTCCAGGCTATATTAAATAAAAAAAAATGTCAGTGCGTTTTTTCATGTTAAAGTTTTTTCAAAGCTTTGTTTTGTTCCTTGTTGTGCTGACCACAAACAAGTTTTAAGAGTATCAAGAGTCTGGCAAAAATAGAAAAAAAAAAAAAAAAAAAAAGAAGCTGTAGTGACGTCGAACCGCACAATGTAAGCATTGAGCATGTGCAAATTTTCAAATCAAAAGAAGGAAATCATCCCTCTTTACAACGTGATGTCTTGACACGTACGACCATAGGCTAAGAAGACTGCTCTGAGTATGTGCCAGTTTTAAAAGAGAAAAGCTTAGATCTTCAAGCATGTTGGAGCAGTCTCAGAATGTTGCTGTAGGCTTCTAAAGCATGATCACTGGTTGTTTCATGTATTCGCCATTTTTCTGGGCAAAAGTAATTCCACTTCCTCTGAAACGTGTCTCCAAGATACTTCTCTGTCCTCAGCCGGAAGAGATACAGTTCGGAACCCACATCAACTTGATTCAACCAAGTGTTCCTTCAACGAGAGGGGCAGGATGGTCTATCATCTGCTGACTGATCAGGATTTGGATCAATCTAGAAAGAAATGAGAAAAAAAGTTTACAGAGTTATTTCATGAGGTCTAGGAAGAATGTAGCAAATGACTACAATTCTGAATACTAGTCAAGAAATGTAATCAGAGAGCAAACACAGCTTGTTAGCATATTATATCCAATTATTCTCTTTTCATACGTGAAATGCTATGTGGGGAGGAAAGGGTGTTGGTACCTACAGTACCTGATATTTAATTACTAGATTAACAAGCTTTATAAAGGCATGTCTGAATAGTCCCCTATTTCACAAAAATTAACAGTAAAATTTTATCAGTGAATGAAGACTTTTACTCAGTACTTTAGTAGTACTTAATTAAGACCTAAATACACAACGTAGAATATCTTCATAGCAATCATCTTCTTTTGTAAAGCACCCCTTTCATCCTTCTACAAAAAAGTTAACTCATCGCTTCCTCTGACTTTGGAAAAATGAAATCGTATAAACAATGCTCTTTGTTTATACAATGTGCAAACAATTTGTTTACTCACATGAACAATGTGCTTATGTGAGGTAATAACTCATGGGTGTAAAATCCCACAGAGGGCCAAAAACGCAGTGTATCAGGAAATAAAACTGCTGAACCCAAAACACTCAAGAGGTTTCCTCCCACCTTCTTTATCTTCAGAGTGACTTTTATATGCACATATTTTTAATGAAAAGTTGCTTCTCAAGTACAAAGAGAATGGTCATAGAAAAGCAAATTGTTGGGTTTAATATATTTTTTACTGAAAGAGCTTTTGGACGAGACCCCATCCACTTGCATCTAAATGTGGAACAACCCAAATTGCCTCAGAAGCTTTAGGTAAAACACATTTTTGAAGGAAAAAAGCCAAATAACTTTTAGTTAAATCACACCCTGAACATATTTTAGGGTTTTAAAAGTTGTAAATTATCTTTAGTGCTTTTTAAAAGGAGGCAGAATTTTCCCACAAATTGCTTAAAAGTGAACTATACTTAGATTGTCATTCTTTTTAAAATGCCTCCTTGGACAGCCAGGAAGCCTCAAATCAAGCCAGAAATGACTGACTTAATAAGCAAGACAGAAATGTCCAAGTAAAAATGTAATGACAAAATCTGTAACAAGTGGCAGAACACTTTTAGCATCTAATAGAAATTGTATGTATTAGAAAATAAATAGAAAAAATTATGTCTCATCAATAATTCTGAATATTCTATAATCAATGAATGAAGAAGATCTCATATCATCACAACCAAAGGAAAACTGACCCTTCCAGTTATGGTGTTAATAAAAAAAAAGAGAAATATGATGAACAATCCCCTAATGTTTAATTTGGGAGTAATATTTCAGAGTAAAACAGCTATGTAAATTACAGTAACCAAAAGAAAAAGCTGATTCTAGTAATTTACAGAATTATTTTGGTATCAAAACCAACTCCAAAACCCCTTAAAAATGTGTACTAGTGGCTAAAGTCACTCTGAAATATCCTGAAATTACTGGACACCCCACCTACTCACTCCTTGTCTTTACATACACTGTTCTTCCTGCCTTTTGAGGACTACTCATTCTTCAAAATTCAGCTTAATAGTCACCTTTTCAAGAAGCCCCACCTGATGCCCAAGACCTAATAAGCTGCTTCTCAAATGAGCTGTGCATTTTATCACATTATTACATAATATTTTGCTTCTTAGCTTGTTTTCCTCAGTAATCTGTGGGTTTCTCCTAAGGGCCATGTTTTATTTACATTTAAGTGCTTAGCTGCCATCAATATGAGATGAACGAAAATAGTCTAACCATGTGGGAATGTTGTTTTAAGATGTTATCACAAATACATTATTTCTTATGACTGAGAATGTCAAAATATGCAATTGGAAAAGCATCATGAATAAGATAAATTCTACTATTTAATCAGTGTTTGCAAAATGCTAGTTCTTCCTATTGATGCTTGGATATACAAAATTCTTCCTTCAAAAAATGTGTCTCAAGATAAAAGTTTAAGAGAAAAAAAAATTAGTAATTCAACATGAGGTTAGATCATTATCTTAATTCCCTAATAAGTGAACAGTCCTACCTCTGCATCAAACTTAGTAAATATTGATGAACCTAATATTAACTTTTAATCTGTTGTTTTAAATTATTTGTTCTGTTAACATGATAATCAAGATCTAATAACATTAAGAAAAAAAAATGCCTGCAATGCTATTTCCCAAGATAGCCAGTTCATTTCATACTTAAGGAGTAGGTACTTACCTCTGAATAAAGAGGTGGAGGCAAGAATCGAAACTCCTGGATATATGCAAACAGTGGTCCTTGAAGGGCTCTCTCAAAGTCATCACAAGCACTCACTGGTGCAAGATTGTTCCGCCTTTGTTCCTCTGTTACCACTTCTGCATAGCTGGGTGGTGCTGAAGGAAAAAGATACACGCAATTCGAACAGCATGTTCTTATGCATGTCAAAATACACAGAATAGTAGGTATTAAAAAGCAACGTCAAGGTAAAATAATTATTGTTTGGTGATCAAAACTATGAAGACATATAATCAAAACTGAATATTAGGGGCACATCTACTTTCTTTAGGAAAAGATTATGTTCATCTAGGGTCATAAAATATCAGAGGCAAAATAATTTTCTTGATAATAGTAGTAAGAGATTAAGCTTAGACGTGTATTATCAAATTACCTTCAGGTCTTTCAGGAAGTGATAAACTGAGCCAGTTCATATTCATGCTACACTGACTGCTTACACTTGAGGTTCTGCTACCAAATGGATGTAGAGGAATGGTACCGATGACAAGTGGCAAATTAAGAAATAAATCCATAGCTCCAGGAATATCCACATATACCTAAACATTGCAAAGAAATATTAAGTTTAGAATGCCAAGTATGATTTCCTTTTCAAAAACTCATAACCAATTTTAATGTTATTTGAAACCCCCATTTACTTCATTTTTAAACTTACATACATGAAAAGTTTCTCTTTTATGTATAATTCTGTATAGTACATTTACATATAAGGTATAATTGTAAGTCAAACTATATAAAGAGTTATGTATTTTATATGTCACTATATATGGAATTTAAAAAAATCAAATCCTGGATGTAAGACAAAACTATGTCATAACTTTAAGACTTAAAAACAAAACAAAAAAAAACACCAAAAACCTCTTGGGCCAGGCACTGTGGCTCATGCCTATAATTCCAACATTTTGGGAGGCCATGGTGGATGGATCACTTGAGCCCAGGAGTTCAAGACCAACCTGGGCGACATGGTCAAACTCCATCACTACAAAAAATACAAAAATTATCCAGGCATGGCTATAGGCACACCTGTAGTCCCAACTACTTGGGAGCTGAGGTGGGAGGATCACTGGAGCCCAGAAAGCAGAGGCTGTAGCGGAGCTGAGACTGTGCCACTGCATTCCAGCCTGGGTGACAGGTGTTTCAAAAAAGAAAAAAGAAAGGAAAAAACCTCTTAAATGTGTACATACCATTAGTGAATATTCCACGCGGATTATACTACAGTCGAGGATAGAGGGAGAAACTGGTGGAATTTTCAGCAACTTGCCATTCCACGTCTCTGTCTTTCCAGATGATAAGGATTCCCCACGCAAGTTAGCCACAAGCTGTTTTACTTCCTTCATTTTCCCTTTGGCATAGAAGGCCTGTGTTTGGTAAATGGCTGCCTTTGGCACCACCATTCGGGAAGAGCAGTTCTCAATCTCAGCAAATATCTGAATTGATTCACCTAGAGAGGGAAAAATATATACATATCTACTGTTAGAAAAAAACAACAAAAGAAGTCAAGATTCTTAAAGCTAAAGTAAGAAAGTGCAACTAACATACATGAAAAGATGTCCCAGGAACTGCAAATAACTTGAGTCATAGAAATGAACTAATCAGTAGCTATTTGAAAAAGGAAACTACATTCTACTTTGTGAAAAAAACAAATGGATAAGCACAATTTGTTATTTCACAAAAGAATACTATATTATGTTTATATTTAGTAGTCATATTATAAATTTAAACACAAAAGCTAAGTGAAGAAAAGTTTTTTGTGGGAATCTACCTCTTACATACCTGGGGTATAGCCCTTCCTTTCAATTTTGGCACTTAAGGATATTGGGCCTGAGGTACAGAACCAGCAACAGAGTGTCTTTTCTTTTGTGCCTGCTTGGGGTGACTGTAAGAAAAAAATTAAGAGAAAAAGGTCAGTGTATGGATTGGTACAATCAATACCAGAATATTTTAAAATATAACCCTAAATTTATGGAAAATTAAAAATTACAACTGGTTTTGCTTTTTTTTTGTATCCAGACATACTTCTTATTTTTTAACTAACCGATGGTTTTGAATTATACCATTACTTTTATTTTCATATAAATTTCCATTCAATTAGAAAAAAAAGGTAAAGGGTTTACAGCCTATCCCATAAACATAGTTTTTTAGCTCACACTATTTACAAATATAGTAATCAAAAACCAACCAAATAAAAAAAACCCTTTCCACATTCCATTTAAACTGCCTTAAAAAGGCAGCAAAGAAAGCAATCTGATTATAATTCCAAATGTTAACATCTTTCTCTGAGACTATTAAAAAATCAATATGTAAAAAAGGAAAATGCCCATTTCTTATGTGCTTTAAAGATGTTACCATTTGTTTAAATCAAATAAAGTTTTAAGTCAAATTTGAATTATTTTCAGACAAATGCAATTAAAAATAGATTTCTTTAAAAAAGGAGTTTTTTAATGAAACTAATGATTCCCCATTATTTGACAACTATCCCTCTATTGGAATAACAAAGTATAGTACAAATTTTAGATTATGATATTGTCAAGTAAGTGATATTGTATTATAATAAAAGATACTACTGCTCTTCTTCCACTCAAATCATCCAAGGACCAGATCTGTTTTTTGTTATGGCTGTCATACTCTGAGTAAGAGATACTTCATATCATATACTGGTCTTAGTTTTATATTTACTTAAAGGTATACTACAATGTCAAAAATATGAGCATATTTTTCATTAATTTCAGTGTTCTTGACTGTATTTAAGAAAATGTATATTTATGAAATTTTAAAAGAAAACCAGTATTTTTAAATTATGACAACTGCATAGTTTAGGTGATTGATTATTCTTTAATATTTATATGCCAAAAACAAAGAATAAATAATTCAGTCAATTCTTACCAGTAATGAAGGAGTGTTGATATCTATATGCTCAAAGACTGTAAATTCCTTCTTTAATTTTACTGGTAGTAGCCAAGGCCTGTGCAATTCGGCTTTCACCCAATAGCGCACACTGCCATGTCGGCCTTCGAATGAGGTAGCGAGTGGTCTGTGCAGAATATAAAGGTCAATATATTAATTTTATACCTCTTTCTAACAATTACACAGTAGGTCAGAATAGAAGTGTTAATATATTGTATTGTTTATGTTCCAATGAGGTATCAAACATATAATTTAAAAAATTTCCAAAGGGATAAGTCACTGGGGAAAAAACTTCCTATTTCCAACTAAGAATAAACAATAAATATCTTTAAAATTTTGCTTTAAAAAGCCAGAAGAATACAATCCATTTAAACTAAGAGGAGGCTACTTTTAATGATGGTGGCAAAATCATGAAAGTTTAATGGGCATTTTTTGAAAAGGCCAAGAATTCAAACACAAAGTTGAGAATGGTTTAACTATTTCTACTGATAAATTCTAGACACTGGTTAAACATTCAGACCAAATTCCCTATAGTACTCCACTTCTCATTAGCCGGGAATTATCATCTTTTAATAGCAACTAACTAAGGTCTAGAAAAGGCCTGGAATAGTCATTATAGTTTCAAAAATTTCACATTTCCTAAGTTTACTGAAAAACTACTTTTGTATCTCTCAGTTTACTCATGTTCTAATTCTTGTTTGGCTGTTCTCTAACTTTACGGGCTTCAAAAGAAAAAGATATAGTCCTCTTGATCTATGTCAAGAGAATAAAAAAAAATTTTTTTTAACTCTGTCAGATTTTACTTGTGGAAGGTTTTATTTTAGCAAGTTCAGTATCTTTTTCATAATTTCATTAGTAAAATACTCAATGTTCAGTTATTTACAAGAGTGCTAGCTTAGATTAGCATAAGAAACACTGGTGTTTTCATAATTTTTTTTTTTTTTTGCATTTTAGACTCCCACATTAACTTGTATAGCAGAGAAATAAAATCTTAAACTGTATGCTAATAGTTATCCAAAATTTATGTTAAATGACTTTGGTTTATGGATAGAACTTTAACATTAAATGACGCTGAAAATACTCAGGCCCCATATTGGCCTTATTCTATCAACAGACTTTAATATTTTTCTCAGAAATTAGATGAGGGCATTATATTCCAAATAAAATTCTCAAATAATACAGTAAATAGAATTTTCTAAAAAATACCATTTATGACTTCTCTCTCTATATATAACATCTCAAGCACTAGAATTAACAAATGCAGAATTAATGTACATTTGTCACCTGACAAAATCTTATGTAATCTGTTTATTCTCCAGAATAATCACCACAAGTGCCATTTTGCAGGTTTTAATATTTGTTAAAAGGCATTTTTTTTTAAAAAGTTTGTATCATCTCTTCCAACAATCTGTCATTACTTTAAGAATATACCACTTTCCTTTTTCCTTTCTTACTAGATTCCAAGTTTTATATTAATGTATCCTTGATGCATGTTTCCTTTTAAGCCTGGGTCATATCTCTTGTGTGACCTTCCCAATAGTTCTTTGTACAGAAGCTATTAAGTTCATATCAGAAGAAAAACATTTCTAAAGTTAGGATATTCCTAATTATTTTTATTTTCGAAACTTACTGCTATTGGTTAGTATTAGCAGAAAAAGTAGAATATAGAATTTTTTATAAATTGAAGCTACTAAGACTTGATAGGGTCTATCTTTTCTCATAATGATAATTGATAATAAACTAAGTATAAAGTGGTTATTATTCGACTAGCAACTTCCAATTCACTCATGTTAAAGGAAACCCTATTCCTATTTTAAAAACCTCATAAACTTTAGGAAAGAATACTGAAAATTGAGTATGCTTTCTATAATTTTGCCACGCTAGATTAAAAAATAGCTTCTTATGTTTAATATATTGTTTTCCTCTAGCAAGTTTCAGTAATGAAAAGGGTTTTTTTTTCAACTAAAAATGTTTAAATTTAGAATACTTAATTTTAAAATAATGCTCTGATCATAAGTATCTATAAAAATGCCTATTATTTATAATACTTACGTCTGTGGAAGCTCGAAGCTGAATGCATATTCATGCCTTCCTGAATGAATAGTGTGGAAGCCTTCTTCGGAATTATCATCATCTAAAACAAACATAAAAAGAAAACAAAGAATTTATTATTCAACATTTACATACTCCGCAGGGTGGCATAACTTTAAAGATGCTTACATAACAATTAAGACCACAAAACAAGCTTTGGAGTCTGAGAGATCTGAGTTCTAATTCTAACTTCATCATTTCCTCTGGACAAAATAAAAATCCTGTCGTCAGCTGCCTTATCTGTAAAATGGGGATAATGAATACTCACACCCCACAGGCTTTTTATTTTTTCTAATGGAAAATGACCCAAACTGCAAAGCATCTGTTTATAAAATAGTATATATACTCAAAAGGCTCGGGTCTCACATCATGGTAAGACAATGCTATCCTTTGTCTCCAACGGTTTGCTTAAATTTATCACATTAAGACTATAATGTATCAAAGAAAAACTGTTCATGCAACCCTCTTAAAATATGTCAGTTTATAGGGAATAATAATACCAGATGTGAATAGAATAGATACTCCAAAACCACTAGAAAACCTTGTCAAATAGACGGAGTAAAAAAAAAAAAAAAAAAAGCCACACATTGATTTTAATGTCAGATTTATAACTAAAAATAATTATTTATTGAACTAAAAATAATTATTTATTGATCTAAAATGATCACAACACTCAGTTGGTCCTAGCAACGACTAAAACTTGCATAAACTATACCTTAGATAATTACAAAGAACCGCATTTAGGTGGTGTCGGCTTATAAGGAAACAATATTTTCCAACATCCTTGAAAAAAATGAAGTCTAACTATTAATAGTTTCCAGTTTCTATAAAAAAGGGATGACCTTTCATTTTACAACCAATTTTTTTGGTGAAATTATTTTTTTTCAAGTGGCATGAAAATAAATATAATCGAAAATATGGGAGGGGGTTCTAGATCATTAAAGTGCCTATTTAGCGTTTTAAATAATTACAGAAATATCTTTTAAAGTTTTCTTGGTGTAGAAACCTTTACGATTAGCCCCCAGAGTAGAAAAAACTGGCACATTATTTAACTTTCCTTCAGCAAAGTATTGGATATACACAAAAAACGTGATGCCTCCCTGATATTAAACGAGAAAAAGGGGGAAAAAAGCATGTATACGTCGATACTTTCATTTAAAAATCATGGTGATTCGCTTATGTCTCCATACAATTTTCCTCGTCCCCTGTGCAAATTCCCCTGAACGGATTTCAGAACCAAAAACTAGCTGATGAGCTGGGGGCCATTTAAATTCGCTCCCCTCGAAGGCGCCCGAAGTTCGCCTTCCTTTCCCTTTCTTCCCTCTTCGCTCCCTTTTTGTGCCAGCTCAGCAGTCTCATTGAAGCGAGCGGCGGCGGCCGCGCCGTGGTAAACAAGTGCCGGGCTGTCAATCAAGAACTAGACCGGAGCAGGAGAGGACCGGCCTAAACCGGCGCGAGCAGATCCCAGCCGGCCTGCCCGCGCGCCGCCGCCGCCGCCGCTGCCGCCCGCGCGCCCCGCTATACATACGGCATACGTCGCGCGGCGCTCGCGCCCGTGCCCGCGCAACCTAGCCTGCTGGCCGGGGGGCGGGGCGAGCGAGCCGCGGCGCTTCCGCTTTACACGCCCCAGCCGGCGACCGGTTCCATCTGGCTCGGGCCACTCTGACACCTTTAGTTTCGGCAAGGGATATTGGGGTGGCGAAGGGGAGGCGGGGGCCCGAAGGCTTCGGAAAACGATGGGGGAGGGGGCAGAGGATACCCGTCGAAGCCCCCCCCTCCCCCAACATTTCGATATTGGAATCACTTTCCTTCTTCCTCGGGCCAGCCTTTGCTCTGTCCCCTCAGGTCAACTCAAGGTAGACAGTGTGGCGACTGGAGAGGTCGGGGAACAAGCTTTGTTTCAGCTAAGGGGAAAACAAGCGTTCACAGGAGTCCCCTGACACCTCCCACTCGGAAGATAGCTAACGGGGGTCCTGCCAACCCTTCCCATCCAACTTCCATCTGAAAAGGATTTTCTGCTAAAGTTGGGTCCATGGCCATCCAGCACCTGTAAGGCCGGCAGGAGCGTCTGCCCTCTACTCAGTTAAAGCCTGAAGTCGTTTCCTTTCGATGGCCCTTAGGAGGCCCAAAAGAGGGGCGACAGAACATGATGTTGACACGGGCTGGGCGCCCCCAGAAGCCCGGGAACAAACGTGAGTACGGGCTGGGTGGGGGTCGCTCTGGAGGAACCTTTACCGGCGCACGCCGGTTTCCTAGCCTCGCCCCAGCCGCGGCGCGAGCTCACTCTCCCCACCCGCCCGCGCCCAATCCAATCAGCGCCTGCCATCGCCTTAGCAACAGGCTAACAAACCTGGCTCCGCCTATCCCGGGCGCCCGGGGCGGGGTCTCAGTTACCAGGCTAGTTTGAGAGCTCCCAGTTTCAAGTCATTGAAACTATTCCAGACTGAGCTCGTCTACGCGTTGCAGGGTTTGGGGGGCATTTTGTTGGGGGTGCAGGGCATTTAGTTTTCTTTACCACGAAATCATGGTGCAACTAATGAAATTATATTTGTCCTCACATCTCGTTGTTCTACTTTTCCCCACTGCAAGTCTTAACCCCTTGAGGAAAAATCTGTTTTCTTTCATCCGTTTCATAAAAGGCTGCAATATTCAGAAAGGTACAAACACAAAGTCATCTATCTGCTTTTCAACAAATACCAAGGCTGTCATTAGGCATTTGCATCTCCTATCAGTGTTAACACTTGGAGAGATTAATTAGTTATTTCAGGATGCAAAGTACCTGTATCTAACTACGAAAATCCTGCTAAAGAACTGAGTTCACCTTAATAGTTTCAAAAATAATGCATTAATACTGTCCCTCAAAGCATCCTTCATTTCTCACTTGCCTTAGTCATCAGCACTTCTCCAGGATGTACGTTTTTAATATAAAAAATAAGGTAAAATATGTCTCTAATTTTTTTTCTGAAAAATCGCCAACATCTGAACTAAATACTGCATTAAAAAGGAGAGGCACAAAAATTACATAACCAGTTTTAACATTATATTCTTCTTGGGCTAGGAATTAAGTCATCGCCACCACCTGACGCGTGTAACCAATCTGCTGAGAGCAGAACAAGCGCCCCTCCTCACCACCCCCCAGAACTGGTCCGAAACAGGATTGAACCGCTTCTAACAAAGGGTGGAAACTTAGAAAAACAAGCCTAGAGTCTCCTATATTTCCACAATGTAACCATTTAAACAATAGATTGGAAATCTCAGGACTCCTTCTCCTTTTGACAACCCTTTATCTCTCTCTTCTAACCAAAAATCAAATCCAGTGTGCCCTATACTTTTCAATTCCATTTGACTGGCATGGGTTTCATTGAATGCACGTTCCAAAGTTAGACATGATGCTCGGAAAAGAAAATTACTGATCCTAAATGGCTTCTAAACCTGACTCGATACCTATCATAATGACAGATAGTCATTCCTTTAAAATAAGGAATGCTGGGTGTAAATTTTTAAAGGAATGGTAAAGAATAGAGAAAAAACACGTGGGGTGTTGATACCATATGTCAAAATAAGCCACAGAAATCTTTTATGAAAGAACAGTCATCAATTATTTAAAGTCTTTTGCATTCCAATATTAAAAATGAAACACACCCATTAAGTCTCTTAAAAATGTTATTACATTTCTTGATCGAAGTTCAGTTTTTACATCTTAGGTTGCAAGTAAAAGGGCAAAAATCTAAGACTGCAGCTTTTACCAATTCATTTGAAAATATATTAGTAAAACGACTGAATTGGATTCAAACAGAATTTATAAGTAAGGTGCAAATGGACTACAAGTGCGTGTGGCACAGACCGAGCCGGGTACAGAGGTAGCTGAATAAGTGTAGTTTGCAGTCACTTTGCAGATGCCTGCATGCATTACGGCTTAACACACGATGAACGTCAAGGAGAATCCAAACCTTCCAACTTTGCTAACCTTTCTCAAACTGCTTAGTTATGCTAGGAGTAGAATCACGTTAATTCAGAAAACTGAAAAGGTACGTTTCCAAAGAAAATGAGTCCAATGACTTATGAATAACAAAAACTTACCTCTTTCGTGCCCAATTAAGATGTCTTTATGGTTGAAATACTCTACTTCTTCAGTGTAATTCTGTGTATAGGCAGTATTGGAGCCGGCGTTTCTAGATTCAGTCCAGCGTACTTTCGCATGTCCTCTTGCATGAATTTTAAGAGATTTTACTCTGATTTCCCCAGTAACTTCTAAATTTACCCTTCCTGAGACGGTATCCCCACTAGAATACACAGGGACATTGCTGTCATTAAGACAGTCAAAGCTTATTGTCAAACTCTTCACCTTTCCCAGCACCATGTTTATAACAAAATCTATAAAAATATAATGTAAGACAAAAAAGTCAAGATCGCATATAAAATGTGATCTTCACTTAACACTGATCGATATTTTTGCCGTGCAAAATGCTTGCAGGCCGGATCAGTGATTCTCTACAAATAGTTCATTGAGATTTCTTAAAAAGTCAGGGCAGCAGAGGCTGCTGCTCCGCGCTCCCGCTCGTCTCAGTGGTCTCCTTACAAAGACGGGCGGCTAAAAGCTGCCAGCTCACTTTAAGAGCAGCTTTGTGAAAAACAACCCCAGTGCGCAGGCGCAGGCCGCGGCTGCTGTCCGCCCTCCCTGCGCGCCCCCTCCCGCGCCGCGCCGCGCCGCGCTCGCTCCCTTGCCCGCTCGCTCCCGGGTACAGTAGGTGTAGAGCTAGGGGAAGGAGATACTGGAGCTGCTGGCCGGCTGAACCTGACTTCTCTTCATTGTGGGCTCCTATTGGTAGGCAGGCTACCGTATACCCTCGACGTGCTATCTGGAGCCCGTTACCGAGCGCACTCTACTAGAAAGATAATGGCAGAGTGGGGTGCGAGGGTACAAGGGCTGGGTGGGGAGTTTGCAAAGCCAAGTTAGGATAAACTGCAGCGACCAGCCCGAAGCGTGCGTTACCGGCACTGCAGCGTTTTACCAACTGCCTGGATGGGAGGAGGAAAAAGTGATGTGTGAAGAGAGATGGGGGAAGGGAGAAACCGGTTGGGCAAGCGGCCGATTGTTGAGCATAATCTAACGAATTTCCAAAGAAAACGTAATAAAACCGGACAAGAAATATTGTTCATAGACAAGAGCATACTTTGCTTGGATTTTTTTTTTTTAAACCAGTACTTTGTAGGCAGGTTGGAAATGAACTCAGTCGAGGTCAAAGGAACCTTAATCCTTTGAAGAGCGAGGTAGAGAAGCAAGTACAATGTAATCAATAGGCTTTGCTGTCTCCTCAACTTCTTTCTCCTACATTGCTTAATTAGCACCGAAAAACAACCAAGTTGTTTCCAGGATGACACGGGTGGGGGCTGGGGGAAGCTTGATCACTTCCTCGAAGGAAGAAAAAGTCCTTTTAAGACACCACCTACGGCTAGATTTGCAGAGTAAGACATGATTACAACTCCTGTGTCCAGAGGAATAAGAATAGAGTTCGGCCTAAAAAAGTACTACCTTATAAAAGGCATATGACATAGTGGTTTAGCTGACATATTGTTTGCAACAGAATCGGAAAATCTTTGTTAGAAATTAGTGAAGCGCATAAAATTGTTTTTAAAAAGCATGATTTGGTATATAAATAGGGATTTAACTGTGTGAAGCTTTAATTTTCGGCCGAGAGCCTTGGACCATTTAACGTAGTAATTCTCATGATACATCTTAAATATAGGTACATTTCTCTTTTTATTGTGAATGTTTGGTAAAAAATAGCAGTGCTTTCGTCACATCACACTGGGATTCAGAGCATAACAGCATAAACTCATCTAGATTACTGGCAATCAACAGAACTGCCTTACAAGAGAAATGTAGAAAGAAAAAATATGAATCTGGTGCTCTCTCTATATATATATGTATGACCAAAAATACCTTGGAAGATTTTTGGCTGTCCGTGTCTAAACGTTTTAGATTCTTTTGCGTAGTGTATATGGATAGGTTGAGCCTATGAGTCACAATAAACTAAACTTATTGGTCTTGCTGTTTTATTTCAAAAGAAACTAAGCTTTTGGGGGTTGGATTTTAGTTGACAAGGCAATATCTTGGACTCAACAGCAATATATAAAGAGTATAAATATGCAAACTAGACAATTAATGAGCAGGCCATTTATTTCAGAGTTTAGATCGCTATGCATAAAATTATAAATTTGCATATTTAAGTGGGAAAAACAGTCTTATCTTTTCCCTACCTCTTGGTTGACACCTGGTGGAAATTCTAGGTAAAGTACCTGGGGCCTTGTACTAGCTTTGATTACAGATACTACTTGTGTTTTTTCTCCACCTAGTGGTAGAAGTGGTGAATTTCCTAGAATGACAGCTTTTCCTCAGCATAAGGTCAATGATATTTAATAAGCATTCGAAAACCACTGAGCAAGGAATGGATTTAAAAGTGTAGTCCATAATGAATACATAAATTCATTGCACATTTGTGTCTACATTTATGTTAAAAATTATTAAGGGTTAGTGAACAGCTGAATTCGGATTTTTTTAGTAAAATTTATTTAATTAGAATATAACTCATTTCAGAAAAAATAAGAATTAGCTATATAAATACACCAGAATTGCATTTAATAAAAAAGAAGTCTAAGAAATTTATTTGTAGTTTGGAAAATTGTTTTAAAATATTAAATGTTTCATTCCTGTCACTGTGTAGTACATTATTCTTTGTGTTTGAAGCTTTCAGGATCTTTTGAATAGTTGTCTTTATTATTTATTTTGCTATTTTTAAAATTTTCTTTTTACTGTGTCTTCTTAAATACTTAGGTAACTGGCAAATTTCCAAGAAATTCTTACCAGCTGCCATTTTCATTATATTTTTATTTTTTGAGATGGAGTCTCACTCTGTTGCCCAGGCTGGAGTGCAGTGGCACAATCTAGGCTCTCTGCGGCCTCTGCCTCCCGGGTTCAGGCGATTCTCCTGCCTTAGCCTCCGGAGCAGCTGGGATTACAGGCACGCACCACCACCTCTGGCTACTTTTTGTATTTTTAGTAGAGACAGGGTTTCACCATGTTGGCCAGGCTGGTCTTGAACTCCTAGCCTCAAGAGATCCACCCGCCTTGGCCTCCCAAAGTGCTGGGACTATAGACATGAGCCGCTTGCGCCTGGTCTCGCTTTATCTTTTCAATTCTTAAAAACAAAAACAAAAACAAAAACGCTTGGACCAAATTTTGAATGTTTTCTCTTGTCGCTTTCATAACTTCCCCCTTTCAGATTTTTTGTCTAAATAGCTACTCCTTAGACAGCTTGAAATGCTGTACTGTAGACATTATCTTGGGCTTCTCAGCTTGCTTCACTGGGCCATTATTGTATTTTGTATTATATTTAAACTATTCGTCTTTACCATCAAGGCTCTTTCCTACTTCTCCCCAGCCTACGTCTCATATGCCATCTCCTCCTACTCATCTGCTAACTCTCTATAATCCTGTCAAGTACATCTTCTGTCCCCTTTGTTAGCTTGTCTCACTGTTGCCAGTATGCAGTTACATGTGCTTTTGGTGCCCAGAATAACATCCCACTACTATGTTATCTCCTTTGCTTTTTTCTAATCCCTCCACTAGATGCAGTTGGCACTACTGAGTAAAATTCCAACTAGACTGAATAACTAGCTTCCCTTCCCCTTTCATTGCTTCTTCAGAGCTTAAGTAGGAATCTCTTTTTATATTAGCTTTTGAGTCAAATGGCTCTTTCACCTTAATATATTAAAGTTTGAACTCAATCTCAAGAACTCTATCAAAGACTGATAAATGATCATTGCTGTCAAGTTGTATGATATTGAGGAGATATGTTAAGATTACTGCCAAGTTTGGAGTTTTTTGCATATTATATCAACATGCTCAATATTTTTATTTTTAAAAAAAAAGGAAGCCATCTCAACTGGAAGTTTTGGTGTTTGGTTGAAAAAAAAAAAAACCTACCAGTAGTCAGAATCTGTTTCATAAAGAAAAATATGAAATCTATGCTTAATCTATTTTAACTAGCAGCTGATAGGCTCGAGTGCTATGGGACTAAGGGGGATTTTTTTCCTTTGGTCTTAATTCTGTATTTCAAGATTTTGTAACTCTGACTTAACTCTTTAATATCGTCACAGTGCAGCAAATTTGGCATGCAGACTGGACAGAAGACTTGCTGTATTATTAGCAAAATGAGTAGTATTTGTTTTTTAGCTTTGAGAGCTATTACAAACATAACGCATATTATGTTTGTTATGTTCTTCATACTTAATAGACTTTTAAATATGTTATGGATTTTGTGATGAAACTCACTATCAAATTTGGATTCTGATATCCTTCATTAATAAATAGTATAATTTGTGTTATGTGAACACCATTTAATCTGTTATATTTTATTTCTTGATTAAAAGAAAATCACCCATAATTCTACTGTCCGTCCATTCAGAGACACCACTGTTAACATTTTGGTGTATTTCCATCCAGATGTACAACTAAAGAAGAGCATTGCCAGTGAAGCTATGGCAGTGCATATTATCATGTAGAAGATGAGTTGGTAAAGTTTATTCATCTAAGCTCAAATGGCATCTGGTCTACAGAAAGAATTAGGAATGCTAAATTTCTTTTCTGAACTACTTTATAAATTTTGACTTTTGACTATGCACAACTTTATATAATGAGGGTAAAATTTTATTTGCTGTAATAAAATATTTTCTGGCTGAGTGTGGTAGCTCATGCCTGTAATCCCAGAACTTGAGAGGCTAAGGTGGGAGGATTGCTTGAGTCCAGTGGTTTGAGACCAGTCTGGGCAACATAGCAAGACCCTGTCTCTACAAAAAATACAAAAATTAGCCAGGTGTGGTGGCATGTGCCTCTAGTCCCAGCTATTCAGGAAGCTGAGGTAGAAGGATCACTTGAGCCTGGAAGGTTGAGTCTGCAGTTAGCTGAGCTCGTGCCATTGCACTCCAGTCTAGGTGACAGAGTGCGACCCTGTCTCAAAAAAATTTTTTTTAAATTTTTTTTCAAACATTTGATTATTTTATTTTGAGACAGCTCTGTTGCGCAGCTGGAGTGCAGTGGCGCAATCTCAGCTCACTGCAACCTCTGCCTCCTGGATTCAAGCCGGGATTACAGGCCGTCATCACCATACTCTGCTGATTTTTGTATTTTTAGTAGAGGCAGGGTTTCACCACGTTGGCCAGGCTGGTCTTGAACTCCTGGCCTCAAGTGATCTGCCTGCCTTGGCCTCAAAAGATGCTGGGATTACAGGTGTGGGCCACCGTTCCTGGCCAACATTTTGATAATTTTATATAGGATATGTAGCTTATATAGCATAGCATATCTACTTTGAAATATTTTACTCTCCCAGGGATGAAAGGGCTGAAGAGGCCCATTAAAGTCATTAAGTCAACTCCCTGCCTTTAAGCAACCTGAGAACCCATTCTATTTTTGTTTTTATTTTCTTATTTATTTAAATTTTAACTTTCATTTTAGATTCAGAGGTACATGTGCAGGATTGTTACATGTGTATACTGCGTGATGCCGTGGTTTGGGGTATGATTGATCTCATAACCTGGGTAGTGAGCACAATACCCAATGGGTAGTTTTTCAACCCTTCCTACTCCTGCTCCAGTAGTCCCTAGTGTCTGTTGTTCCTATGTTTATGTCCATATGTATCTGGTGTTTAGCTCCCACTTGTAAGTGAGAATATGCAGTATTTGGCTTTATGTTTCTGTGTTAATACACTTAAGATAATGGATTCCAGCTGCACCCATGTTGCCGCAGAGGACATGATTTCCTTCTTTTTTATGGCTGCATAGTATTCCGTGGTATATATGTACCACATTTTCTTTATCCAGTCCACCATTGGTGGGCATCTAGGTTGATTCCGTATCTTTGCTATTGTGAGTACTGCTGTAAGGAATATACAAGTGCATGGGTCTTTCAGTAAAACAATTTCTTTTCCTTTGGGTATGTACCCAGTAATGGGATTGCCAGGTCGAATCGTAGTTCAATTTTTAGTTAATTGAGAAATCTCCAAACTGCTTTCCACAGTGGCCGAACTAATTTACATTCCTACCAACAGTATATAAGCATTCCCTTTTTTCCACAGCCTGCCAACATCTGTTATTTTCTTACCTTTTTTTTTTTTTTTTTCGAGACAGAGTCGGGTTCTGTCACCCAGGCTGGAGTGCAGTGGCGTGATCTTGGTTCACTCTGACCTCCACCTCCTGTGTTCAAGCAATTCTCCTGCCTCAGCCTCCCGAGTAGCTGGGACTACAGGCCACCACACCTGGCTAATTTTTGTATTTTTAGTACAGACAGGGTTTCACCATGTTGGTCAGGCTGGTATCAAACTCCGGACCTCAGGTGATCTGCCCACCTTGGCCTCCCAAAGTGCTGAGATTACAGGTGTGAGCCACCACACCCGACCTTTTTTGTCTTTTATAATAAAATATTTTCTTGATGGATATTGAGTTTTGTGGTAAAGTACAACAGAAAAGAACCAGTTCCCAGTTTTTAAATATCAAACTTATATATAGCTAGCTGGAATTTCATATTCAATACCTTACCTGGAGATAATTGCCCTTCTAGGTATCCACATTTCTGTGTTGATGAAGGGGATCACTATTATAAATGATTTTTTAAACCCTAAAACTTGTCATTTACTGCCACTAACTTCTCAGTACTGTTTAATGGAATATTTTTCCAACAGTTCACCACCTAAAGTTAGTTTTATGTACTATTAATTATTATCTTTATGTTATCATAATTTAGAAATTGTAAGGGAGAATTTTTGCTTTTCACCTATCCTTAATCAGCCCAGTTTTTATGTTACTGTCTTTTCTAGTGTTGGGGACTTTTACTTGAAGAAGTAGCTATTGCAGCACTATTCACAATAACAAAGACATGGAATCAACCCAAATGCCCATCAATGATAGACTGGATAAAGAAAATGTGGTACAAATATACCATGGAATACTATGCAGCCATAAAAAAAGAATGAGATCATGTCCTTTATGGGGACATGGATGATGCTGGAGGCCATTATCCTTAGCAAACTAACACAGAAACAGAAAACAAAATACTGCATATTCTCACTTGTAAGTGGGAGCCAAATTATGAGAACACATGGACACATAGAGGAGAACAACACACACTGGACCTTTCAAAGGGTGGAAGAAGGGAGAGGATCAAGAAGAACAACTAATGGATACTAGGCTTAATACTTAGTTGATGAAATAGTCTGTACAACAAACCCCCATGACATAAGTTTACCTATGTAACAAACCTGTACTTGTACCCCTAAACTTAAAATAAAAGTTTAAAAAAAGGCTGGGCGAGGTGGCTCATGACTGTAATCCCAGCACTTTGGGAAGCTGAGGTGGGCAGATCACTTGAGGTCAGGAGTTTGAGACCAGCCTGGGCAATATGGTGAAACCCCGTCTCTACTTAAAATACAAAATTAGCTGGACATGGTGGCAGGTGCCTGTAATCCCAGTTACTCGGGAGGCTAAGGCAAGGAGAACTGCTTGAACCTGGTGGGTGGAGGAGGTTGCAGTGAGCTGAGATCGTGCTACCACATGCCACCGTGGGCGACAGAGTGAAACTCCATATCAAAAAAAAAAAAAAAAAAAAAAAAGAAGTAGGTGTGATAAAGGAACTGTTTGCCAAGGGAAAGCTGTAAGGAGGAGGGGCAATTTTAGTTTGTTTGCTGAGAACTTGCTACCCTCAGAATTCTAAGTATTTTGTTTCAGGGTCAGGAAACAGGTTAGGTGACAGCTAAACCTTAAAATCACACATTTAATCTATGACCTAGCAAATTCCCTTGATGATCAGCAATTTTTTTTTTTTTTTTTTTTTTTGAGACAGTCTCGCTGTGTCACTCAGGCTGGAGTGCAGTGGTGCAATCTTGGCTCACTGCAACCTCCACCTCCCAGGTCCAAGCGATTCTCCTGCCTCAGCCTCCCGAGTAGCTGAGATTACAGGCACCCCCCGTCCACCATGCCTGACTAATTTTTGTATTTTAGTAGGGACAGGGTTTTGGCATGTTGGCCAAGCTGGTCTCGAACTCCTGACCTCAGGTGATTCACCTGCCTCGGCCTCTCAAAGAGCTGGGATTACAGGCTTGAGCCACCACACCTGGCCCAGCAATTGGTTTTACATTTATTGTTTTTGTAACACAAATGTCTTTTTCATTCAAGTATAAAGTACGTTTTTAAACCAATACATTTTAGTGAAAACATGAGGCAACTGAAATTTCTTGCTCAAAATTGACATAATATTTTGTAGTTATGTATAAATTTCAAGTTATTTTGCTGAAGAGAATGCAATAGAAAGGAATTTAATGCTTTATTAATTTGGACTTTGAAACATATATGAAGGAATTTACAAGCAGAGGGATATGCATGCTATTGTAAAGATGCATATAACAAAGTATCCAAAGTGAGGAACAGAATTAAATCATGAATAATTTACAGATGAAAATAATTTATTCAGTCCTGGTCTTTAGAAAGTGGGAGTAATGTTTAGTAAAGCCAAAATATTTTTGGAAGTTCCAAAGGAAGGGCTCATTAAAATAATAATAAACTAATACTTTTTTTGGTAAGGTACAGGTTAAAAACAGAATTCGAAAGCTAGAGTAGATATCATTTTATCTAATAGTTCTAATGTCCAAATCATCTTTTACAGTTAGAAATAAGGAATACTTTATTTGTACTGGTGGTCCATTTGATTACAAATAAGTCCTTTAGATTTATTTTTATATTTATTATTTTGCTATTATTTGGGTCTGTTTTGGTAAAACTTGGAAGAAGCCTTCAGAAAAGTCAATGGATAAGAATACTGGGCTGAGCCTTGCTTGTCTTTTGGGTCTTTCTGCCAGTGAATGAAGAAGAAGAGAAGAACCTTTAAGACTGAGTCCCTTCATGGTCAAGTGCCCAATGGGAGATTGTTGCAGGGCAAGATTGTAACATAGATTCTTTTTTTTGAGACAAAGTCTCATCTCATTCTGTCACTGTTGCCCAAGCTGGAGTGCAGTGGTGATCTCGGCTCACCACAACCTCTCCTACCCGGGGTCAAGAGATTCTCCTGCCTCAGCCTCCCGAATAGCTAGGATTATAGGTGCCTGCCACCACGCCCAGCTAATTTTTTGTATTTTTAGTAGAGATGGGTTTCACCATGTTGACCAAGCTGGCCTTGAACTCCTGACCTCAAGTGATCCGCCTGCCTAGGCCTCCCCAAAGTACTGGGATTACAGATGTGAGCCACCATGCCCGGCCGATTGTAACATAGATTCTTGATGCTTAAGAGGATAATATGGGAAAGAACAGAAGGTGATACTGTTAATTCTATTTATAGTAGTATAGTAGTAACCTTTCTCATTTTCACAAGCCCTAGTGATTTTGTGTTCTAAGCACTTTGCTTTTTTTTTCTTTTTTTGGTCTGTCTCTGCAGTGATTTTTTATTTTACTTTGTAAATGTTTTTGTTGTCATATGTTCATTTGCACATAATTTGAGTTACTTAAAATTTGCTGGTCACCCCAAATGAAATAAAACATTGGCCAGTAGCTAGGAGATAGTGGTGGTGAATAACTGCAAAGATGGTTTAGTGAACTGCATAAAAATCACCAAGACATCATTAAGGAAGTCCCATCAGGGGAGCAGTATGAGAGTGAAGGGCAGACAACGATATGTCTCCTGGTGGATGTGGGGACAGAGAGGGATGAGAAGACAGTCATATTAGATAGTCCAGAGACACCTCAGGTGGTTAGGCTCGCATTAAAGAGCGAACATGAGGCAGGCATGTCTGGTAATGACAGGAAGTCAAGAAAACTTTTCAGGGGATTGGGAAGCTTGGCTGATAACAGATGATGAGAGGAGTGGGAGGAGCGGCAAGTGGTGGTGGAGTGAAGCAGTTTTTTTCCTTTCTAGGTGTATAGGACATGGGTACATTAGCTAAGAAGTCCAAAATCCATGAGGTTATTTGTTGACTGGGGGGGTGTGTGCGTGCGAGAGAGAAAGAGATCACATCATATTGTTAACAGCCGCAATAATGGCATATTTTATGGCAGGCACTGTGCTTTTCACTCATTATCCTGTTTGGTCCTTTTAAGAGTTCAATGAGGTAAATCCATTTTATAGAGAAAACAGGCTTAAGGTGATTAAGTAACATCCCCAAGCTGAAATAGCTAGTAAATGGTAGTGGTAGGATTTGAACCTTTGTTTTTGATCATTAGGCTATAGTTCAAGCAAGTACTATAGAACTATTTATCGATAAGATATGGCCTCTTCTGAGAAGGCTTCTGTAACCATCCTCCCCTCCCTTAGTTTGGATATGTTTTTCTTTTGTGTTCACAACGCCTTTTAAAATCCTATTCCTTAACAATTTTATACATAGTTTGTACATATTATCTCTTCCATAATATTCCAAGCCTCTCAAGGGCACTTTCCTTGTCTTATCTAGTGCCCAAATGTCAAACATTTTCATATCTCCAACACGTAGCATAGTGCCTGTCACATATGCACTCAATAAATGTTTATTAATATGGGATAGATTGATAGTAGAATGTTATCTTTAAGAAATTTTTCATTGTATGATTGTAGATACTGATGAGTAGTTTTTCTGGATAACCACATGAAAACCATGACACTGATGAATTAAAAATAAGACTTAGGTTCACACCATCATTTTCATAAATGTATGCTGATTGCCACAGGGTCACTATTGTGAAGTAAGTATCTGATTTCAGTTAAAGTAAATAAGGATTACTAGCTTTTGCTAAAGTAAAATTTTATGGTTAAAAAGCAATATTAAAAATACATATATTGGGCCAGGTGCGGTGGCTCATGCCTGTAATCCCAGCATTTTGGGAGGCCGAGGTGGGCAGATCACCTGAGGTCGGGAGTTTGAGACCAGCCTGACCAACATGGAGAAACCCTGTCTCTACTAAAAATACAAAATTAGTTGGGCATGGTGGCACATGCCTGTAATCCCAGCTACTCAGGAGGCTGAGGCAGAAGAATCGCTTGAACCCAGGACTCAGAGGTTGTGGTGAGCCAAGATCGTGCCATTGCACTCCAGCCTGGGCAACAAGAACGAAACTCTGTCTCAAAAAACAAACAACAAACGAAAAACATATATTATCTTTTAGCATTTTTCTGCTTATATTACACTTGGTATATTATTTAAAACTGATGAACAAGGAATCTTTCAGCCTGCTTTTAATTGGACCTAAGGAAAAGTGCAATTGTGTACCACAGCAAAGAGCAAAATACCTGAGAGGAAGCTAACTGAAACTTGTAATATTATTTATCTGTATTTTTAACATAGTATATAGCTTATATAGCTGACATTTAAAGTGTTCTGAATAGATTTGCATCTAGATAATAGAAAGGTTTATTTCAAAGGCCTTGATTACTGAATATTTTGTTATATATGTTGAGATATATATATATACATGATGTCCCTCTTAAAAATTAAAATCTCTAAAAACATTTCTTTGTAGAGGCACTTCTTTATTCATAAATTTGGTAAATTCAGTAGTCAGGTATGCAAAACCCTGGTCGCTAAAATATATATGATTTCAAAACAATATTATATACATTTTTTAATTTTTAAAATTATTATTATTTTAATTTTTTAATTTTTTTTTCCAAGATGGAGTCTTGCTCTGTTGCCCAGGCTGGAGTGCAGTGGTGCTTTCTTGGCTCACTGCAACCTCTGCCTTCTGGGTTTAGGTGATTCTCCTGCCTCAGCCTCCCGAATAGCTGGGATTATAGGTGTGCACCACTGCGCCCAGCTAATTTTGTATTTTTAGCAGAGACAGGGTTTCGCTATGTTGGACAGGCTGATCTCGAACTCCTGACCTCGTCATCTGTCCTCCTTGGCCTCCCAAAGTGCTGGGATTACAGGCGTGAGCCACCACGCCTGGCCTAAAATTATTTATTAAAATAATGAAATAATTAGGTAAAATCATCATATCTTGGTGTGTAATTGAATATGGGTATAGAGGAAGGGTGTTAATTGAATGTTAGAGGGAAGAGTAATCAAGGATGACACTGGATTTCTGGCCTAGGCAACTTGCTAAATGGTGGAGTTCCTCGCTGAGATGTGGAACATGGGGAAGGAGGAGGAGGATGAATTTCAGTTTTATATTTGTTCATTTTTTATTTTTTAAATTTTGAAACAATACAAAATATACAGAAAATTTGCAGGTACAGTACAGAAGACTTTTTTTCCTGGACCATTTGAAAGTAAGTTGCCAGTATGATGCCTCACTGCCAGTAAAGACTATGCCTTCATAGCCATAGTGCAACCATGGAAATCAAGTCATTAACATTAGACATTACTACCATCTAATACTGAAGTCCCAATCAAGTTTTGTTGGTTGTCTCAATACTCTCCTTTAGGGCAAAAGGATCCAGTTTAGAATCACCTGTTACATATAGTTTTCAGGCCTTTTTAGTCTCCTTCTGTTGGGAGCAGCAATGTAACTTTTCCTGGTCTTTAATGATCTTGACCCTTTTGAAGACCAGATATTTTATAGATTGTACCTCTGTGTACAGTTCAACCTGTTTTTTTTTTCAACCATGGTTCTGGGTGAGAATTAAGGCTTAACACCCTAAGAAATCTGTATTAGTGAGTTCTCCAGAAAAAACGGAATTAATTAATTTATTTGTTAAAAAATAACAAATAAATGGCTCATGACGTTATGGAGGCTGAGAAGTCCCATGATCTGCTGTCTGCAAGCTGGAAATCCAGGAAGCTTGTGGTGTAATTTAGTATTAGGTTGGTGCAAAACTAATTAGTAAAACTAATTTACTTTTAATTAAAAGTAATAGCAAAAATCGCAATTAGTTTTGCACCAACCTAATACAAGTCTGAATTCAGAATAAGTCTTAAGACTTAGGAGTGGTGAGGGGAGGAATAGATCCACATACCAGCGCAAACAATCAGAAAGCAGATTGAAACATCCTCCATCTTTTTGTTCTCTTCAGGCCCTCAGGGGATTACATAATGCCCACCTACACTGGGGAGGCCCATCTGCTTTACTCAGTCCACCAATCCAAATGCTAATCTCTTCCAGAAACACCCTCACAGACACAACCAGATAACCTTTAGCTAGATATCTGGGCATCCTGGGGCCCAGTCAAGTTGACAGATACAATTAACTACCACAGCATGTATTGGATGAAATAATTAAGTTTTAAAAACACATTTAGAATGGCATTAATTATGTACCATTCTTGAGAGAGTTGAGCAAATAGTCACTATGTGTTAGGGTTCAGCTGAAAAAGGCTGAATGATTCGATTTTGATAGGAACACTTCAGAAGTGATGCTGTTTTCTCCTCATTGATTCCTGTCAGATAATGTACAATTTTGGTTTGTCCCATTACTAATGATCATTTGAATAAAGATGTGTCTGTCTGAATTCTCAACTACTTGGTTCCCCACCCTGACCCTAGGGAATTTGTAAGTATTTTGTATGGAAGTTTTTTGAAACTTTGCAAGTATCCTATTTCTTATCAAACTTTCTATTTGTTTGTTTATTTATATGACCATTGATTCATATGAGCCTTAATTTATTGTTATTTATCTTGATCTTCAAATTGTGCCCAATTTAGCTAGTAGAAATCCCTTCAAAGTGGCTTATGACATGTCTCCATCATATTTCGACTACCTTCTTTTTTTCTGGCATATGAAACAAGCTCATCTTGTACTTCTCCTGTACTTCTTGTACTTAACAAGCTCATCTTGCAATTCCGCTGCCTAGCCCTGGAATCAGCCATTTCTCCAAGTTAGCCCTGAGTCTTTGAAGGAGCACTAGGTATACACCTTGCTTTTAGAGTGTGGTGTACTTTGAGGTTGTCCCCAGTGGAGAGAGCTATCATATATATAGATGTACATATGAATGTATAGACACACAGTTGCAAATTGCATCTATATTTCTGTCTGTCTGTCTCTATCTGTAAAACCATGAGTGTACATTGATACCATAAATTCTAATCAAACACCTCAGGGTTTGTTCTAATTTTCTCCCTTTCCATATAGGTAACCTTCTTTTTGACACTGAGAAACCAGGCTCCCATTGGACTTGTCATATTGACTTATTTGATCAATCCCCCCTGCATGTGATCAATCTCCTGTTTCCACTGTCATCCTCCCTTGAATGTGGATGCCCTCTTTCCCTACCTAGGCTCTGCCACCCTGTTTCAGACTGCCCCTCTAGTGGATGTATCCTCACCCTAACCAGGCTGGACCTCTCCATGCTGGACTGGCCTTTGTGTGGTGCCTTCTGAACCCTGTATCAGGTGGGCTTTGCTTACACACTGCTCCCACTCCCCCTTTTCCTGTGCCCCACTGTTGTAGGAAAAATATTGGTTCTTGTCACATGACCAGGAAAGATTAGGCTCACAGATACACAGAAGGGTGAGGAATGGAATTCGTTGGGTTCTGCCAACAGGCTCTCCACCTCACTGATTGAATCCCAGGTTACCACCCAGGAACAGCAGAGGCCAGACTCCTTGTCCTAAGGCTCCACTCCATCCTCCCAATGCACAGGCCAGTCAGAGAGTCTCTGGGACCGGCAGTCCAGTTTTTCAGCCTCAGGCTGTTTTAGGCTTGAAAGTGGGGTTTTGCCGGGGGACCCTTGGCTGGCTCCTTGTCTCTATCACCATCCTTTACATGCTGGGCAGATACTACTTTAATTTAGTAGAGAATGAGAAAAGAATAATAAAGCAGTAGCTAAAAGGAGACTCCTTCAGGAGTTTTTGATGAAAAAGTATGGCATTCATCATATTTACCTGTAATCGCCTTGGAGCCAATCTAGAGAGTGAGGTTAAAGATACAGAAGAGACAGAAGTAATCGATAAAGCCACTTCTCTCAGAAGGAAGAAAGGGATAGGGTCTGGTGCACAATTCTGAGGATTAGTCTTAAGTGCAAGAGAAGACTGCATTCCCACTTAAATTCAGAGTGGGAGAGAAGAATGGCTTGAATACAACTTGGTTTGAGAGTCTTCTGGCCGGAAGAAGAGTGAATTTCCATCCCATGGCTTTTACTTTATTTGTGCAGACATTGCTGAAAAGGAGTGATCTAGTTGGAGATTAAGGAGATTGAAGAGAATTCTGAAAATCCTGTGGAGAATGAGAAGTGAAATGAGCAGGAAACCAGAAAGGCTTCTGATCACTATGGAAAACCTAACTGAGAATAGAAACTGAAAATGAATTCAGACACCAACCCTAATGACTGTCAGGTTTTCTCCAGCAGCCCCCAGGGCTGGTAGTGGAAAAGGCAGTTTTTTATTAGGCAAACAGTTAAGTAGAAATACCTAGGACAAGTAAGTTGAGGATATTGACTAGGGAGAGCTTGAATTGAAGGAAATGGATGTTGAAATATTGAAGAGTTCTGTAAAGTATTAGGAAAGTAAAGAGAGATGGAATCTGGAAGAAGGACAGTAGATGGGTCATGTCCTATCCCAAAGGTTTTTGTGTGGTTTAGTCTTAAACAATCAGAAACCAACTCTAACTTAAGGGTGAAGTGGAGGTTGGGAAGTGGAGTTTGTTATAAATATATCAGGTAGCTCACAGATTTAAAACTCAGTCTGAAGAAAAAATCATGCTTCAGCGATATAGAAACTATTGCAGCTTTGGTGTCCAGGGTTTTAGAAAGTAATGGACACCTTCAGTATCACTACTGGGAAAAATTAGTTCTACTATTTGTTCATTCTTGTTACTGCTTAGGGTTCAAATACTGAGAAGAAAGGTTAAGATTTAAATGATCTTGCTTAGATTTTGTGCCCACCCCCTTGGGCAGGAGATTGACTATTCTATCAAGACTATATGAAATTGGCTGGGTGCGGTGGCTCACGCCTGTAATCTCAGCACTTTGGGAGGCTAAGGCAGGTGGATCACTTGGGGTCAGGAGTTCGAGACCAGCCTGGCCAACATGGTGAAACCCGGTCTCTACTAAAAAAATACAAAAATTAGCTGGTCATAGTGGTGCACACCTGTAATCCCAGCCATTCAGAGGCTGAGGCATGAGAATCACTTGAACCTGGGAGGTGGAGGTTGCAGTGAGCTGAGCTCATGCCACTGCATTGCAGTCTGGGTGACAGGGTGAGACTCCATCTCAAAAAACAAAAACAAAAACAAACACAAACAAAAAACCCCAAAAAAGACTATATGAAATGGAGTTTGGGAAGTTCCTCAAAGGAAAACAGAGATGCCGTTTACAGAAGAAGGAGAATGGAAGCAACACTGGCAAAACCAACAGATGCTCAGCATTTGTAGATTTTGTGTGTGGGTACTGAGCTTATGCAAATAAAGCATGAGTTGGTATGAAGAGGGAGACATTGAATAAAATACTAATTCTTTTTAAAGTTTAATTTTTCTGAATTACAAAATAATACATGTACATTGTAAAAATAATTAAAACTATCCACCTTCTCTGATCTTTAATTAATATGGATTAATGACCAAAATATTGCTATATATGATAGCAAAGGGCAGAAGCAGGTAGGAAGTGATAGATTAATTTGAAATCACTGTCTGAACATTTTCTATGGTCTAGATTCCGTCGCGTACACGGTGGATATGAAATGAGAGTTTGTTCTCTTGCTCATAAGTACAAGTATGAAATGGTGCTTTGAAAACTAAGATCATATACACAGCCAAGCTTTATAGTACTAAAAATGTCTCCTTTTGAGAAATATATAGATAAGTTTGTGTCTTCAACTTATATAATGCAATCAAATATGAATATAGTTTTAAACTTATTTTGAAATATGCTTACATAAGCCCTATATTTCACTTTGGTTTTGTTGTTGTTGTTTTTTTCCATTGTCTACTATTATGAAGACTATGTATAACTTTTCCCCAAAAACACACCCCTTCCAGCCTGCTTTAGAAAGTCAACATTTTAGTATAACCAGTATTATTGAGTACATTCTACTTAGTATATAGTAATACAGTAATGTTTGTTTTTCCTCCAATCACAATTCTCAATAGTGCTTTGTAGAGAGTCTCTCAAGACAATTTCTTGGTCACATTCCACAACTTTCTCATCATTTTTAGTTATTAAAAACACAAAACAAAGCCAAACTAATTTCACTCCAGTGTAAAAATTCAATCTTAAGTCTGATTCAAATACAATCTCCTCAGCTCCCTTTATTAGTATCTGACTCCTTTGTCAGGGAGGAGGAATATTAGAGATGGTGGGGTTGCTTATTGGAGATGAGGCAGTGTCTTTCCCCTCAAGACTTTGTATGATTTTATTGCTGTTGGTGGTCTCATAACTTGTTGCAATTTTTAGGATTGTTTAGCTTCATCTTGATTCACTGTATCAATGAGGATGTCTGCAGAGAGAGGGGCCCATGTCTCCCTTTAGTTTTGCCTTTGGTGTGCATTCTAACTCCATTAAGAAGCAGCTGTTAGGTAACCCCAGGGCTTGTGCTTTTCTCCTCCCTTCGGTTTTTTTTTTTTTTTTTTTTTTTTTTTGAGACGGAGTCTCACCCTGTCGCCCAGGCTGGAGTGCAATGGCACAGTCTTGGCTCGCTGCAACCTCCACCTCCTGGGTTCAAAAGATTCTCCTGCCTCAGCCTCTGGAGTAGCTGGGATTACAGGCGCATGCCACCATGCCCAGCTAATTTTTTTTTTTTTTTTTGTATTTTTAGTAGAGATGGGGTTTCATCATGTTGGCCAGGCTGGTCTTGAACTCCTGACCTCTTGATCTGCCCAGCTTGGCCTCCCAAAATGCTGGGATTACAGGTGTGAGCCTCTGCACCCGGCCTTCTCTTCCCTTCTTTATATTCCTTCAAATTGAGTCAAACTTGAAAGTCCTCCTTCTGTACCCGTTGGTAAATGAATGTTGTTTTAGTCAGTTTGGGCTGCTATAACAGAAAACCATAGACTGAGTGGCTTAAACAACAAATGTTTATTTCTCACAGTTGTGAAGGCTGGAATTCTAAGATGAGGGTGTCTGCAGGTCCTGTGTCTGGTGGGAGTACTTTTCGTGGTTTGCAGATGGTCATCTTTTTGCTGTGTCTTTAGATGTTGGACAGCAGAGAGGGCAAGCTCATGTCTCTTCTAATGAGGGTACTAATCCCATTCATGAGGACTCCACTCTCATGACTTAATTACCTCCCCAAAGTTCTACCTCCTAGTACCATCATATTGGGGATTAGGATTTCAGCATATCAATTTTTGGGGGTGGGGGGACACAAACATTCAGTCCATAAAAATAAGGAAACCTAGAATGGGATGGACATTTTCTTCACCTTCTTTTAAAGCGCCCCACAATATGGTCTTTTTAAAAAATTCCACTTTTCCGGGGTTTGCTTGCCAGTCTTCCATCTTCAAAATCTTCAGGAAAGAATCAGGCGCAATTCTTGATGTTCAGATATGCTTCCAAATTCCAAAAGACACATGTCAGTTTCTCCCACAGACTCTCTCACTCAGCGTAGTGAACTTTGAAGTCAGACTTGGGGTGAGTCTCTAGGTTCCCAACTCTGTAAGTATTCAACTAGGTAGTAGCTGTCAGTCTTTCCTCTGTGCAAGCACTCCCACTCTGTATTCCTTTGAAACTCCCTCTTCACTTGGCTTCTAGTGGGTTGAGGGAAAATATTTTCCTGCTCACTCACTCAGGGCTGAAATGTTGATTGGGAGTAGCAGATGTGGTTCCTTTGCATCTGAATAAGCCTTTAGAGAGGTTTCCGGCCCAGTGGTTGGAGAGGCCTTTAACAGCCTAGAATCTTTATGAATTTTTGTCATCATTTTTTCAGTCATAATAACAATTCCAAGATAACAGAAAAAAATCCCTTTTAACAGTTTATTATTTTATTTTATTTTATTTTATTTTTTGAGATGGAGTTTTGCTGTGTTGCCCGTGCTGGAGTGCAGTGGTGCAATCTCTTCTCACTGCAACCTCTGCTTCCCAGGTTCAAGTGATTCTTGTGCCTCAGCCTCCCCAGTAGCTAGGATTACAGGCACGTGCCACCACACCAGACTAATTTTTGTATTTTTAGTAGAGCTGGGGTTTCACCATGTTGGCCAGGCTGGTCTTGAACTCCTGACCTCAAATGATCCACCCACCTTGGCCGCCTAAAGTGCTGGGATTACAGGCGTGAGCCACTGTGCCTGGTAGCATAAAACTAAACTAAATGATATCCATTCTTATGTGATACTGTGGTCTATAATGAAAAGCAAAAAACACAAACTCTAACCCACAGGATATAGTAAACCAGATCCTTTCAATGCTTAAGATTTTTAAGTTAGGAAACTTTAAAGTAGCATTAACTTTTCAAGGTCCCCAAAAGTACTATTAATGAATAATATTAGAGTTGTTTTGTTTTACATTCTGTCAGAACGTAGTAGGTAAAACATGGGTGTTAGAGTGAGGGAGAGAGGTTAAGCCTATCATGAAATCACTGGTCAAGAACATAACTCAGTAAAATGTTTAATGATCTTTATTAGAAGGCCTTTGTGTATAAGCAGGTTTGAGATTAATTTTAAAAAAACAGATTTCCTTTTAAAATTTTTGATAGGCATTTTTAAATTTAAGTTAATGCTAAAATGTATTTGTTAATCTTAAGCCTCATAGTTCCCTTAAAGAGGCTTGAGTAAAGAAGTATTTTAGGTTCTGGCTTAAATATGAAAATGATTTTAAGCATACCCAATGGCTAACAAATATAACAATTATCATTCCCAGTGCAGTGCTGTCTTCAAACTTTCTCAGCTGAATTTTTTCTGAGTGACATTTTTGCTATCCATATCCTTCTTAAGAACTCAATAATGGACTAGGTTAATTAGAGATAGGTAATCTTACCTAGTGTTAATCATCCTTCTGTCAGAATAAATTAACCTTTTTAGCTCCTATTTTGTAGAATTCCCAGCCTCCACAGACAATGTTCTCGAGGCATTAGATAGCCTTATAAAATTTTAAACTCATTTGAACTTGGAAATACCCATTACTAATAGAATCATTAAACTTAATAATCATAGAGATTTACTCAGATCATTGAAGATAAGCCTAATTTAGGCACCTTGCAGTCTTGCTGCTTCTTCATTGTGTGATTTGGAGAAATTCATTATCATCTGAGTCCTCATTTCTTGACTGATAGAATGGGGATAATTATATCCACCTCAAATTATGGAAATCAAATGGGACAAAGCTATAGTAGGTTCTGAAATGCATTGCTAAAATGTTTAGGATCATTATTATTAATATTGTTTTGAAATATCAAGTCAGAAGACTTTACTTTCTACTGTTAATGTCAACTGATCCCTAATATACTGAGATCCTTTCCCCTGGCTCTTTTGTATTATTTTAAAATTAAATTAAATTATTAAAAAATAGAGATGAAGTCTCACTATGTTGCCCATGCTGGTCTCGAACTCCTGGGCTGAAGTGATCCTACTTGGCTTCCCAAAGTGCCAGGATTGCAGGTGTGAGCCAATGTGCTTGGCCTCTTCTGTATTCTTGACAATGAGAAAAAAAAAGGTATAAGATTGTGTGAGATTGTATTCTGACCATCTCTGGTTCCCACAATTCTTTGGTACATGTGTGGCCCATGGAGCAGATTAGTTAGCCCATAGTGGAGGTTCATGACACCTCATGGCAAATAAAATGAAAAACTAGCATGCATTGAAATAAAATTATTAACTGTAAATATAAACTTATTTGCTTTTATAAGGTGAAATGATACAGTAGATTTCATCAGAGGTAATTTGGGAAATATTAAAACATTTGGCTTTAATTAGAAAGGCAGGAAAATATATCAAACTAGATTCCATTTGGGCAGGGTTTGTTTATCCTTCTCATCTTGAGTTTGAGCCAAAAATCCTTAGTTTTGACTAGTTCTTAAATGTTTCTCCAAATTTGGGCAGAGCCTTTGGCCTATTTAAAGACAGATGCAGCTTAGCTCAGCATTAGTTAAGAGGGATGGTGGTACATGCAGATCAGGACCCACCAAAATGAAAAGCAGGAGGGGGTCCTAGGGTGGATAAAACTGTGTGTGTGGATAGAGGGGCACCACTCATGAGTAAATGAGTGCTTCATTGAGGTGGAACAAATCTCATTCATCAGAGTTTCTCTTTGGCAAAGATTGTATGTACTGTATTTAGAAAAAACTTTAATAAACTGCTTGTGGGTAGTTCTCCCTTACCCCCCAACCTATCCCCAACCAATAAGGACAAATTGCCTTTCATTTAGGAGCCTGTGTTTTGTTCATTTCCCTAAAGATTGGTAAATAGGTTTGGAGGTAGAATTTGGGACAGGGCGATGTTGCTGGATATTTATGAGGAGAATGGAATGTGAGATTCTGGGGAATACTGAGAAAAGAAATGAGGGCCAGCTTGCTGGATCATTTATGTCGGGAGGAATGGGAAGTAGCTGCTTGGTTAAAGGAAAGAATTTGGGAAACAAAAATGTCTAATGAGAGATTTTCAAAATTAATATCGTGAATAGATGATAGAGACCCATGTTAACAGAAGTATAAAAACGTGGGCCAGAAAGTCTCCTTACCATCCTGGGGCCTCACTGCTCTCACTTGTCTATCCACCAAGTAACCACTGATATTGTTTTCTTATGTACTTTTCTAGAATTTCTTTATGCAAATATAAGCAAGCATGCATATTGCTTTTTATTTTTCTCTGCTTTTTTGACACTGAATTTAGCGCATTGTATATACTGTTCTGTACCTTAAATTTTTTTCACTATGCTATATATTTTGGACACCTTTCCTATGACTACATAGAGCTTTCTAATTCTTTTTCATCACCCCACTCTATTCCATTTTATCAATGTATCATAATTTAACCTATTTATGAACTTTTTTTCCTGATTATTTGCATTTACAACAATATTAAAATGGGTAATGTTATACAGATCTTATTTTTCATTAGTGCATGCATACCCACAGGGTAAATTCCCAGTAGTGGTATTGTTGATCAAGGACATATGCTATTGTAATATTGATAAATATTTCCCTCCTAAGGAGTTCTGCTGATTTATAGCCTCAAAATAAATAAAAGAGTGTTGGGCTGGGTGCTGGAACTCATGTCTATGATCCCAGCACTTTGGCAGGAGGATTGCTTCAGCCCAGGAGTTTGAGACCAGACTGGGCAACACAGCAAATTTTTAAATAATTTTAAAAAATTAGCTAGACATGGGGGTACAGACCTGGGATTCCAGTTCTTTGGAAGGCTGAGGTGGGAGGAGCCCTTAAACCCAGGAATTTGAGGCTTCAATGAGCTATGATCACTGGAGTGCCACTGCACTCCAGCCTGGTTGACAGAGGGCTACCAGATCTAAAAAAAAAAAAAAAAAAAGGGTCTATTTGCCCACAGCCTTGCCAATAGAGTGCATTGTCAAACTTTTACATTTCCACAAATCTGATAGCTGACAAATGATATCTTAATTTTCAGTTTTTTAAGTTTAATTTTAAAAAATGTTGAAGCTACCTCAAACGTATCCAAAAGTTGCAAGTATAAAGAATATTTTCCCCATGGAACTATTTAAGAGTAAGTTGCCAACATAATATCCTTGTACACCAGAATATATAACCCTAGGTTATATATGTTATAAACAAGTACATTCTCCTACATATTCAAACTACAGTCTTCCCTTGGTATCTGTGGGGATTGGTTCCAGGATCCCCCCTTCAGATGCTCAAGTCCCTTATATAAAATAGTGTCATGTTTGCATAAAACCTGTGGACATCCTCCTGTATACTTTAAATCAGAGGTGTCCAATCTTTTGGCTTCCCTGGGCTGCATTGGAAGAATTGTCTTGGGCCACACACAAAATACGCTAACACTAATGATAGCTGATGAGCTAAAAAATAATTGCAAAAAAAACTCATAATATTTTAAGAAAGTTTACAAATTTGTGTTGGGCTGCATTCAAGGCCATCCTGGGCTACATGTGGCCCATAGGCTGTGAGTTGGACAAGCTTGCTTTAAACCATCTCTAGATTACTTATGATATATAATACAATGTAAATGCTATGTAAATAGTTGTTATACTGTATTGTTTTTATATTATTTTCATTTTTTAATTCAAATATTTTTCAATCCACAGTTGGTTAATTCTACAGATGTGGAACTTGTAGATATGGAGGGTCAACTGTGAAACCATCAATATCAGGACATTAGCTTTGATATGTTACTGACATCAAATGGAGTTAGACTCCATTCACAGTTTGCCTGTTGTCCCTAATATGTCCTTTATAGCAAAAGTATCCAGTCCAGAATCATGTGTTGTGCTTAGCTTCTGCCCTACCTCTTCAGTCTCCTTTAATCTGAAACAGTTCCTTCTGCTTTCCTTCATTTTTATGACCTTGGTACATTTAAAGATGATAAACCAGACATTTGTAAAATGTCCCTTAATTTGGGTTTACCTGACATTTCCTTGAACTCAATTCAGATTGCACATCTTTGGCAAAAATATGACAGAAAAGATGCCTTGTTCTTCTTGCAACCTATCAGGTGGTTCATGATTTTGTTTTATCCCATTACTGATGATGTTCACTCTGATCATTTGACTAGGGTGGTGAGTGCCAGGATTCTCCACTCTAACTTAGCCTTTTTTTCCTTTGTAATTATTAAGTGTTTGTGGTAGGGTACTTTGAAGTTATGTAATACATACTTTGGCATTAAAAATTCAGTTGATAAATTGGTTCTTTTGGTTACATCACCATGTACTAATAGGTTTCTATAATAATCAATAGTCATAATCCATTCCTATCATTGTTTGTCTTGATGTTCGAACTGTCCCAGATTTGTTTGGTGGGAGCTCCTTCAAGCTGGCTCCTGCACAGCTTTTGACTTATCGCTATCATTCTGTCAGAACTTCCTTGCTTTCTTGTCTAAAGAGATATTCTAGGCTCATCTTATACTTGTCCTACTCTGGACATGGAATCAGCCATTTCTTCAAGGAACCTTTTAATGGAGAATGATATTTAGAAGCCCGAGTGTGGCTGGGTGCGGTGGCTTACACTTGTAATCCCAGCACTTTGGGAGGCTGAGGAGAGTGGATCACCTGAGGTCAGGAGTTTGAAACCAGCCTGACCAACATGGTGAAACCCTGTTTCTACAAAAATACAAAAATTAGCCGGGCATGATGGTGGGTGCCTGTAATCCCAGCTACTTGGGAGGCTGAGGTGGGAGGATCCCTTGAACCTGGGAGATGGAGGGTGCAGTGAGCCGAGATCGCACCACGGCACTCCAGCCTGGGCAACGGAATGAGAAAAAAAAAAGAAAAAGGAAAAGAAAAAAAAGAAGCCTGAATTCTATGTGTGTTGCTGGCTATTGGGGTGTGTCTTTTCCAAGGCCCTCTTAGTAAACAGACACATACTGACATTGGTTACTATCTCCATATATAAACAACTACTAGTTGATACCTATTCCTTCAACTACTATCCAACATCACCAGATCCATTCTAATTTTCTCCCTTTCCATATTTTTAACACTCTTCTCTCACAGTCGAAGTCCTGGCTCATGTTATTCTTAATGTACTTACATATTTCATCAACATCCCTGTAGGTAACAAGTCTCACACTGTTGCCTCCTCCTACATAAATACCTTTCTCACTTTGATACTTTATGTCAGGCACTTGGGTTTTGTGCTTGGCAACTCCCTCCTCCACACTCTAATCTGTAGCAGAAGTTCTCTTCACTCCTCATAACCTCTAATACCTCAGGCTTCTTGGTGCACTTTTAATTTGCATTCTTTTTGTTATCTATGAGGTTGAGCAATTTTTAATGAAGAGTGCCAGTATAAATCCTTTCTCCATTTCCTACACAAAATCTTTAGTAAAATCAACATTGCCCAAAAATATTTTTGTGTGAGTGAATTATTTAATAGTTCTTGAATGAAAGCTGAGTTTTATGTTTAGCTGCACAGAGTGAATATATTATTTAAGCTATTTATTCATTTAACAAATATTTATTGAATTCATTGTATGTTCCAGCCACTTCCTAGGCACTGAGGATCAAGTGGTAAAAAACAGACACAAATTGCCTTCCCTCATGAAATTTATATTTTTAATGGTACAGTTGAATAATGAACAGGCTAACCTGTAAGCTTAGAATGTAATTTCAGGTAGTGGAGAAGCTACAAAGAGACTAAAGCACAGAGACAGTGTGAGCAGTTGCAGGTGCTGGAGTAGCAGAGAAGTGTCAGTAGACACCTGGGTGACAGAATGGAAATAAATGTTTGTGCATGCATCCCAAGTATCAGCATTTGGGGAATCATGGCTACCTGGAAGGAACAAGCCAATGTGGGGGTCTGAAATCCTGAGTTAGAGATCCAAACTGGATAGGAGGCCAATCACTCAATCTGGCTTTGTAGACTTTTTGGTAATTAACTCTAGAGGTCGCTTCTCAGACCCAGGCCTGTGCAGCACTGTCTTCTCAGCTTCGATTCTAACAAAAACAGCAGAAATAAAACTTCATGAGTAACCAATAAAACTCTGTCTTTTAAAAAAGATACCTACTTTTAATCTTTATACATCATCATTTTAAGTTAGAGAATATTAGTTCCATCTCACAGATAAAGGAATGGAGGCTCTAGAATAATAATAACTTACCTAGCATCATATAACTAATAAGACAGTGAGCAGTGATTGACTGATTCCAAAGCCCAGCTCTTTCTACTGTTGCCCATGGTCAATCTTCAACTTTTTATTTTGGCAAAGTGCCTTCCAGAGGAAGTTCCACTATAAGGCAGAGTAGGGCCTCATGAGCCAGCATTCCCTAGACCATGGGCCTCTTGTTAAAACTTAAATAAGTATACCCCTGTAAAGACTGAGCAGTGATTGATTCCAAAGCCCAGCTCTTTCTCTGTTGCCCATGGTCAATCTTCAACTTTTTATTTTGGCAAAGTGCATTCTAGAGGAAGCACCTCTGTAAGGCCAACTAGGGCCTCATGAACCAGCATTCCCTAGACCATAGGCCTCTTGTTAAACTTAAATAAATATACTCCTGTAATATAGACTTGTTTCCATTTCAATCACAAAAAATATAAACTAATTTTTATTTACCTTTTTAGGCTGACACATTATCTTCTAGTGACCAGAATCCAGGGTATATTAGATGGTTAGTCATATACTTAGAGTAAACAAAAGTTATTACATCCTTGCAAGATATAAAATTGCACAATATTATTTCACAGCAAGTGCAGCTACCACCTGATATTCTTGTAACTGTGCATATCTGAGATATCACAGATGAATTCATTCAATGAACTCAGCAAAGCCCTGATTACAGACAGACTAGTCACTTAAATAGATGTATTTGGATTAAATATGAGAACTCAGTGACTAAACTGTAGTAATGGTTATTTTGTCTTAATTTTTAGTTCTTCAGAGATCCCTGTTCTGAATAGTAGTTGTTATTAATACACTTAAAAGCATTCTATAATTGAAAAGACAAATTGTCCATGTTTAGAGACTAAATAAAATAAAGTAATAATATTACACCCATCAAAAATAAAGTTTGAAAAATAGGAGAGGTAACAAAAGCAAAATATTTGAATCATTTTATGTATAATGAAAAGGAAATGCCAATATGTAAGAATGCAATTTGCTTCATTTGTGATTTGGCCTAAAGCTTGTATAGCATAATCTTAGACTATGTAGATATAGAGGGTCACTTGGGAGTGGTTTCCTAGAACACTATATTGAGAATATAGTGAAACCTAATCAGATCTCAGCAGTATAGAGTGCAGGGATTGATTAGCGATGTCTGCCTTGGGAGCAGGGCAGGAAAGAGTGATGACTTTCATCTTACTGTAACCCTGGAGTCACCACCAAGGCTCCATTTGACACTGAAACCAGCTCAGCTGTTCTTCACTCAAGGAAGCTGCAAAACACAATGAAAATAAGCCCCTGAGAGATAATGGCTATTCAAATTTACTTTGACTTACAGTTAGTCTAACATCCACTAGCCTATGAGAAGAGCTTCTAGGTACAGTAAGTCCTCGATGTGGATAACTTCCTGGAAACTTCGACTTTAAGCAAAACAACATATAAGAAAACAAATTTAGGCTAGGCGCCGTGGCCTTACGCCCATAATCCCAACACTTTGGGAGGCCGAGGTGGGCAGATCACTAGAGGTCAGGAGTTTGAGACCAACCTAGCCAACATGGTGAAACCCTGTCTGTACTAAAAATAAAAAATTAGCCTGGCATGGAGGTGCGCACCTGTAATCCCAGCTACTTGGGAGGCTGAGGCAGGAGAATTGCTTGAACCTGGGAGGTGGAGGTTGCAGTGAGTTGAGATTGTGCCAGTGCGCTCCAGGCTGGGTGACAGAGTGAGACTGTCTCAAAAAACTGACCAAAAAACCCCAATTTTACCATAGGCTAATTGATATAAACAAGAGTTAAGTTCCTACAACACATTTTTGTCACGAAAATATCACCAAACTTCTAAATAAAGACCCAAGACACTTCTAATATTAAACACTGAAATAAATGTGAGCTATATGTATATTTAAGAAAGATCAATAAAAACAAGTAAGATAATTATTTACCCAATTTTTGGTGAATCAATGAGTGATATTGATATAGTGGTGGGGAGTTAAATCAAGGAATAAAAGTTTGCATAGTGAAAATTGTTAGGAGCAACTCCTACCACCAGGCAGTTCAAAAACAACCAATATGGCAGGCTCAGTGAGTACCTTCAGATGGCATCATTTATTGTCATGCATTTGTATGATTACAGTAGACTTTACGCATGTTTATTTTATAATCATTTGCATTCATTTATTCATTCATTGCTTTTCCAGCCCACTTATTCTAGTTCAGGGTCACAGGTGGCCCAAGCATATCCAGATAGCTCAGGGCTCATGGCGGAAACCAGCCCTGGCCAGGCCGCCATCCCAAGCTGGGACCATGTAGACATGCCAATTCACCTAACATGCACATCTTTGGAATGTGGAAGGAAACCAAGCTACCCAGAAAAACTTATGCAGACATGGGGAGAACGTGCAAACTCTGCATGGACAGTGGCTCTTCTGGGAATTGATTTTTTTTTTCCCTCTACCAACATTACAACAAAACGATGTGGACAAAATGATGTTATTTGAGGACCTGTTACATACACATCATGTCAACAGGAAAGAGCTGGAGTCTCTGAAGCTGTAGAAAAGGAAATGGCCTGGGAAATAGAAGCACTGCTAGGGTCTTCAGGAGTTGGGCCTTTTGCAGGGCAGAATGAAGGCGCTGGCCTGTTACAAACCACGCAAAAGAGGATATATGAATGTGGAAAGGAATTCTGCTTAGGGAAACTGTAATAAATCATGTCAGAAATAGCAGCAGTTGGCAAAAGACAAATAGTCACTTTGGGGTATCTTTTTCAATACAGGAGAATAATAATGACTAAATACATCTCTAAAGTATAAAAATATGAAAACTTGAATAGAATATTATATCAAATCTTTTCTGAATTCTGGCTCCCCTATTTGTAAAACCTTGAACCGCAGTTCCTTATCAGTAAAATGGAGATAATAATAATAATTCTTACCTCATAGAAGGTCCCTGGTACATAGTAAGTGCTATGCAAGTGTTAGCTTTCATTATTAAAAAAAAAATGACCTCTTTGGGTGGTCAGGGATATGTGAAACATATTTACTGATTATACAGAAATGGATCACTACACACAGCCATTCAAAAATATGAAATGATATCCAAGAAATATTGTTGCTTAAAAAAAAACCAAGGTGCAGAATAGTGTGTACTGTATGTTTGCATTTTTTAGAAGGATATTTAAATGCATATATGGAGTGGTACTCAAGAAACTGTTATGACCTGAGAAGGAGACTGGGAAGTCTGGGCAGTAGATAAGCCTATTTCTCATTGTGTACCTTTTTGTACTGGTTGAATTTTTAAGTCATGCACATGTTTTTTTTAAGTGACAAGAACAAATTCAAAGTTAATAATATATAGAAATTATTATCCCTCAAGTTAGGCATTTTTCCAATATAGTGTTTCACCTATTGAAATAGAAAATTTTCATTAGCCATTTGTAGAGGTGAGCTATTGCTAACAGCATGACCTTTAACAATTCTATGAAATCTGGATAAAGTTATCTGCAGTCAATCATCACATATAACAACTTAAGGTATCATATTATGGTGAAATATTTGTTGGATCTCATTTTAATCCTAATGTTTAATTCAGTAATTTGGTTTATAAATGTATTCGGATTCACTGAAATATATCATAATAGTAACATTTATAATTTGAAGCATGTGACATGTTTTGGCCAATAATAAACTTAGATTTTTAAAATGGTCTAAGCCACCAACAGCTTCTGGTGGCTTTAACATGAATAGTAGGACAAAACTTTCTTTTCTTTCTTTTTTTTTTTTTTTTTTTTTTTTTTTTTTTGAGACACGGTCTGACTGTCACCCAGGCTGGAGTGCAGTGGTGCGATTTTGGCTCACTGCAGCCTTGACCTCCCTGGGCTCAGGTGATCCTTCCACCTCAGCCTCCTGAGAAGCTGAGACTACAGGCACTTGCCACCACACCCAGCTAATTTTTGTATTTTTAGTGGAGATGGGGTTTCACCATGTTGCCTAGACTGGTCTCGAACTCCTGGGCTCAAAGCCATCCACCTATCTCGGCGTCCCAAAGTGCTGGCATTATAGGCATGAGCCACCACACCCAGCCCCAACACTTTCTTATTTATTAAAATTATATGTATTTGTTTTAGAATATTTGGAAATGATAGAAATAACAAAACTGGCCTCCCCATAAGAATCCTACCTTGTACACTTCTGTGAATGTTTTTTTAAAAGCATTTTTCCTTTTATTTTTTATAAATTACATAAGGGGATACTGGGAAGATGGTGACTGGAATATTTTTTGGTATACTTCCACACCCAGTTCCAGTCTAGGTGCTTTTCTTAAACCCAATTCAGAAAACAAGAGTATAGGTAAGCTGTGAAGCCCTGGGGCTGGGAGGGCAGAGGAGAACCAGAAAGCCACGGATCCAGGGGAGACTTTGGCCGTCTCAGGGAGAAAGTACAGGCTCAGCACAAGTATACTCAGTCTCCTTGGCCTCCAAAAAGTCAAGAAGGAGTTTAATGGGTTCGCTGAGTCTTCCCTGCTGTTGAGGCTGGGAGATCTTTGAGAGGCCAGATAACAGGGTGGCTTCCTTCAGTTGCTGCAAAAGGGCAATGGCTTTCTGCCTGCTCCTCCACTTGCCACCTTGACATGATCTTTGCCTTGCATCCTGCAAGACCACTGCCATACAGAGTTCTCTAGCAACCAGAAGTGAACCAACTGAGCCAAAAGGAAAAATAACATCCTATTTAAATAGGGTCAGGAGCCAGAGGAGCTGACCCAGCAGAACAATCACTGAAATAGAACTTCTGGGAGAAGAAAAAGGAAACCTTGAATTCAAAAATAATAAGAGCACCCAAAGAAATAAAAGTGTTGCACAAAAGAGGCTCTCTGGAGCTAAGAAAAAATTCCAAATAAATAATTTAGTAGAGGAACTGGGGGAGGAGATGCTATGCTCACTGTTGAAATCTGAAATAGTTGTCTAGAAATCAGGACCAAGACATTTCTTGAAGTACAGAGTAAAAATATAAAAAGATGGAAATCTGGGGGAGATACTTAGGAAATATGTCCAGGAGGCCTAACATGTGAGTAATAGTAGTTCCAGAAGAAGAAAAAAGGAAGCCAATAATAAATAGTCAAGACAGTTTCCATAAGACGAAGAAAAAGGCTGGGAGTGGTGGCTCATGCCTATAATCCCAGCACATTGGGAGGCCAAGGCAGGCATATGGCTTGAGCCCAGGAGTTCAAGACCAGCCTAGGCAACATAGTGAGAAGCTGTCTCTACAAAACATACAAAAATTAACCAGGCATCATGGTGCACACCTGTAGTCCCAACTATTCAGGAGGCTGAGGCAGGAGGATTGCTTGAGCCCTGGAAATGGAGGTTGCAGTGAGCTGAGATTTGGCCATTGCATTGCAGCCTGGACGACAGAGAGAGACCTTGTCTCAAAAAAAAAAAAAAAGAAAGAAAAAGTGCTTGCAGATGGTAATATCTCACCAAGTTCCAGACTGGAGACACGAAGAGAAACATACTTAGTATATAATGATAAAATTCCTGTTGCCAATTATTAATAGAAAATGTTGTAAGACTTCAGGCGGAAAGAACAAGTCCTAGATAGGAAAACATTTCAGATTTGGTTATCGGTTCTCTAGTACCACCCAGGCAGCCAGAAGACAATGGAGTAGCATCTATTGACAGTTACGTTACTTCTTCAGTGCCTTAGATATATTAATTATACCAATTTATTTGTTCCTCACAGTAACCCTGTGAGGTAGGTTCATTTTTATCTACACTTGACCAGTGAGGAGACTGAGGCACAGAGATGTTATGTAAATGTCCGAGGTCTCACAGCTAGAAAATGACAGAGCCAGGACTCGATGAAACTGATCTGGCTCCGGAGATCCCATACTACATCATCATTCAGCCTCTTAAATGGGGTATCACATTTGAGGAAGACACTTTGGAAAAAAGTCTAACAAACAACAGAAGAACCAGAAGACAGAAGAAATAAAGTGAGCAATGAACTCAAACTGTGGTGTGTGTTCTTTCCCCGCTTGTCCCCTTCTCTTCCTCAGCAGATTTTACCATTGTGGAAAAGTGTTCATTTCATTGACTGACACCCCAGGCGGAAAAGGAAAAGGAAAAGGAAAAAAATCTCAAATTGATTGTTTTAACCTCAAATGATCATAAGAATGTGGAACATTTCTTAGGAAATCAGAGTTTTGTATTATAATTTATACTGAAAAGTTGATGAAAATAAAGCATAGACCTATTTTATCAAGCTCATTTCTCATTCTTTTTGAAGATGTAACGTTTCTTGTAATTTATATTTAACTTACAGAAAAATTTAGATAATGAATGATAAGAGTGAGATAAAGCTTTGTTTCTTTTAAGTTCCCTGCTGGCTGGAAGAGAATAGAGAGCTTGGAAACAGATGCTCACGTATTAGAAATGTGATATATGAAAGAGATGCTATAAAAATCAAGGAAAAGAGCATTATTCTATAAATGATGCCAGGGCAATTCTTCACCCACATGGAAACAAATAAAATTAAATTCTTACCTAACATCATACTAAAAAAATATATTTTAGGTGTATAAAAGACTTCAGTGTGAAAGAACAGCTTTAAAAATTCTAGAAGAAAATTCTTTATGCCCTCAGAATAGTGATTTAGAAAAAAAAAAGACACAAGATATAAAAAACACCATAAAGCAAAAGAAAGCAATCTGCACAGTGAGTACATACATGGGTATTCTTTAATATTACTTCATGTGCATTAAGGACAAGCATTAAGAAGTAAATATATGTGCCATAGATTGAGAGAGATATTTATAGCGCTTATTATTGACTTTCAAAGAAATGATATTGCAAATATATAGAGATACCTACAAAATTAGAAATAAAAGGCCTGGTGTGGTGGCTCATGCCTGTAATCCCAGAACTTTGGGAGGCCGACTGGAGGATCGCTTGCGCCTAGGAGGTTGAGACCAGCCTGGGCAGCACAATGAGACTTCACCTCTATAAAAAATTGAAAAATTAGCTGGGCAGTGGCTTGTGCCTGTGGTCCCAGCTACTCGAAAGGCTTAGGTGGGAGGACCGCTTGAGCCCGGGAAATCAAGGCTGAAGTGAGCTATGATTATGCCACTGCGCTCCAGCCTGCACAACAGAGTGAGACCCTGTCTCCAAAAACAAACAAACAAAAAACTTAATCAACTCAATAGAGAAACAGGTAAAGAGATGAAGAGGCAAAGATGCTTAATCTCCCTGGTAATCAGGAAAAAAGAAATTAAAATCTTTATGCAACATCATTTCATACACATCAGATTGCATGAAATCAGAAAATTTCATAAAAGGATGTGTTGGTGTGGAGGAGAAGAAAGAACTTATACTGCTGGTGAGAGGCTGTACAGGGCGATGATGTGGAATTTAGAGAAAGTGTTGCATGTGCATACAAGAAGATTGGGACAAGACAGTGATGGCAGCATTGTTCATAATACAACTATGGAAAAATATCTAATTGTTAAACAGGGGAATGATTAAGTAAATTTTATGTGATGGAAAATATGAATGAACCATAGTTATATGTGTCAACCTGTGGCTAAATCTCAACGTTATGTTGAGTGAAAAAATGAACATGGGAAAGGCTATATATAAAGTTTTAAAATGTTCCAGACAGTATTGTATATTGCTTATGGATGCTTACATATGTAGCAAAGTCACAACAGCATGTGTGATAATAATGACACACATCAAATTGAGATAGTATTTATCTCTGGGATGGGAAAAAAAATCTGATTAGTGTGTATGTGGAGGTGCCCAGATTATTTTATTTTCTGTTTTATGTTTAAAACTTACGGGAGGTACTTAGATTTTTTTTCTTTTTTTCTTTCTTTCTTTTTTTTTTTTTTGAGAAGGAGTTTTGCTCTTGTCACCCAAGCTAGAATGCAATGGCGCAAACTTGGCTCACTGCAACCTCCACCTCCTGAGTTCAAGTGATTCTCCTGCCCCAGCCTCCCGAGTAGCTGGGATTACAGGCGCCTGCCACCATGCCCAGCTAATTTTTGTATTTTTAGTAGAGACAGAATTTTGCCATGTTAGCCAGGCTGGTCTCGAATTCCTGACCTCAGGTGATCTGTCTGCCTCGGCCTCTCAAAGTGCTGGGATTACAGGCGTGAGCCACTGCTCCTGGCCTGGATATTTCTATTATTCCCTGAATGTTTTGGTGAGCTTGAAATATTTTACATTTAAAACAGAGGGGAAATTTACTATTGTTATTGTTTAAAAACATATGGCAGTAGGCATTTTCCAAAATGATGCATAACAATATAATGAATTTGATTGGATGTTGGATTTTTAGTCATCTTAAAAAAATGATGCCATCTGTTGATTTATTTGCGGTGGAGAAGAATGCCCTATATAAAGAAGTATGTTTTAAAAGTTAATTAATGCAGACAAGGTTTTTTTCCCCAGAAAAATAAAGTATTATTTTACTACAAAGAAAAGTACTGTGATTTACTTAGGTTAAAACTACTTGCAGATAAAATATGCTCTTAGTTTAATAAATTCTTCTTCTTCTTTTTTTTTTTTGAGACAGAGTCTCACACTGTGGCCCAGGCTGGAGTGCAGTGGCATGATCTCGGCTCACTGCAACCCCGCCTCCTGGGTTCAAGCAATTCTCATGCCTCAGCCTCCCGAATAGCTGGGATTACAGGTTCCTGCCACCACCCCGACTAATTTTCATATTTTTAGTAGAGACGGGGGTTTCACTATGTTGGCCAGGCTGGTCCCGAACTCCTGACCTCAGGTGATTCACCCACCTCGGCCTCCCAAAGTGCTGGGATTACAGGCGTGAGCCACTGCGCCTGGCCAGTTTCAATAATTCTTGATAAATACTTGTAGTCTAAGCTAAGTAATGCTTTCCTTCTTCAGAGTTGCAAAGGTACAAATAACCATCTCATACTTTAGTACATGGCTGTTCCTCAGTATTGTTTTCATGTAGCTGCGTGGTTGAATGGGTCATGATAAAAGTAAAAACAAAAGTGAGATCAGAGTTACATAAACAAGATCAGTTTGCTGCCTTCCCCAGGGGTCAAGTCTACCAGATGAAGGTTTAAGTAATAGCCCCTAACCCGCGGAAGATGTTGAAATACTGTTCTTTCTCATTACTGGATTATATCTTTGTTTATGTAGCATTTTTTCAAGATCTATGGACCATTTTGATGTGTTAGACATTTAAGAACTCTGTTTGTTATACAAACCATTAAAACCAAACCAAACCAAAACAAACTAAACCTTTCCTCCAGTGGGAAAATAGGCTTATTTTTAAGGTTTCCTTTTGGTTTTCCTTCTAAAATACTCCTCTCCTTTTTCTCTGTCTGCATCCTAATCTAGGTCCCCATAAGTTTCAGGGTTACATCAGGGTCATTTTGGAAGTTCTCACTTCTTCTAGATTCCTTCTTCCAGCTCCATCCCCCAATTCTAGGCAGCTCTCTACTTAAAGATGTACAGTAGTTGTTCATTGCCAACTGGATGAAATTATTAATCTCAATTTGGACTTTCCATTTCAGGTCAGCTATTCACAGAAACTGGCTTGTGACAAAGTTTTTACTGGTCCACAGTAACATGATAAAGTTAGGGTTGTATAAAGCTAAAATTATTCAAAATTAAAATTCCAATATTATTTTAGCTTTTTGTGATAAAATATTCTTCATAAAATTGAGTTGATAGTTGATGGAAGAATTTTAAAAAAATTTTCCTTGGGAAAAGTGAGTTGGCAACTTTGAGGATTGATTTCTTTCCACTATCCCACCCGTCCCACTTCTCTCCAACACACACACACACACACACACACACTCTCTCTCTCTCTCTCTCTCTCTCTCTCTCTGTCTCTGAAAATGTTTGCTGATCTGGGAAACTTAGTAGAGATTTTGTAAAATTCTTCCTTAACATCCTCATTTATTCCTGTCTGTCTGTCTGTTTTTTCTAATGTCCTCCAGCTACTTCAATACAAATGCTGCACTTCTGGTGACACCCAGATAAAATCTCCTTGCTTTCAGTTACTCTTTAACTAACACCTTGTGCTTCCTCACTCATCTGCTTTAGCACTTATGAGAATATTTGTCAAAATTTCTGGCATTGGTTGTCCCAAGAATTTTTATTTTTCAAATATGTCTTTTCTCTCCAGTTTTAATATCTGTAAAAAGAAGAACTTTTTACATTTTCTTTAATCTTTTACCCTACATAGATTGAAAATACAAAGAAGATTTGGTAAGGACATAGAAACTCTTATAAAATTTTTTTTATCATAGTAGCCCCAAAACATTGTTATATATGGGTATAATGATTTAATATTTATGAATTATAGCAACTCTTCATCATCTATTTCCAGGTTTCTACTTTCCAGGTCCACTGGTGTTTGGTGTACCCATGTGACTAATTTGTCCAAAGAGAGGTGAGTGAAAGTGATGTGTCACTTCCAGATGGAAGCTTTTTGGGCAAGTATGTATTTTCTAGCTCTTTTCTTCTGTGTTATAGAAACTAGGAATATTCCAGTTGGTGACTGACCCCTTAGTTGGGTTCCTAGAGTGAGTTTGATGTGGAGGAGCCCAAAATGACCTGCAGTGAAGTTGGAGTGTGAGCAAGAAATAAACTTTTGTTTTTTAATTTTCTGAGGTTTTGGAAGTTGTAGATTATAACTGCATAACCTATCAATATTGATATGTTTCAATTCTTAATGAAAATTTCTAATATTCTTTTTGATTATTTCTAACTTATTAACTTAAAATGTCAAATATCTATAATTTCAGTATATTCTGTATCCTACATTTAAAAATAAAAAATAGAATGTTGAAAATGAAATCATTTCAATGAGATGACAACTCAAAATCTTATAGTATCATCCAGAAACATGTAGAACAGATTTAAAAATACACAGTACTGAGATTGGCAGGTTGAGAAGAAGACACATATGAAGGGTAACTTCTTTGGAAAGAAGCAGCTATGCACAGTACTTAAGAATGAAATTTCCATGTCCCGTTAATACATCTGAAACAGTTTTACTTTCTATCCCAAACTTTAATGATCCTAGAAAGCTGGTTTGAATCAGTTTTTACAGGGTTGTTTTGGATTTAAAATAACTAAAACTTGAGAGCTGGGAGAAATTTTATTTAACACTTTTTTATCATTCATGGTTTAATGTTTAATGAATAAATTCTTCACTAAGCTTATGTGGTGAGGGTCTGGTGGTGAAAAGTACTTTTTCAACTAGATATATTAGAATGACAACAGCAAAGCAAGAATGTGGTAGGGTCACATAAAGGAGTCGTGATCTGTGGGAAATTATTTTTTATGATTCTCCAAGATGGCTGTACATATAAGCATAAAAGTCAATAAACAAGTGCCTAACCTTTAGCTCTAAATTAACTTTTGAGCGCTTTGAATGCCTGGCACAAAAATATTTAGGGGTTTGGCGCCATCTGGTGGCCAAATATCAACTTTTCAGCTTCTCTTTTATGACTAAGAAGTGAATTACTCTGCACTTTCCAATAAACACTATTAATAAATAAAATTATTTAAAATGTTGATTTCCAGAACTTGAGAAGACAAATCAAAGACAGATTTCTGTTATGTTACCTATTGTTATATGACAGAATTTCAGTCTTGAGTAGGTTCTTTTATACTTGCATTTGATTTATTTATGAAAGCATTATAGACATAAATCTGCTATCTTTTTCTTAATACAAGAGAAGACTCTTTCCCCAAAAGAAATTAGACGTGCTCAATAAAATCTAAATTTATTTTTTCACAATTCTGTAAAAGATTGAGCTAGGGGTGCGTGTGTGTGTGTGAATATCAGAATTTATTTTAAAAATGCAAGAGGGAGAGGGGAAGGAGCTGGTAGTGACATTGTTAATTGTCTGCTTTGCAATAGCAAAGACTTGGAACCAACCCAAATGTCCATCAATGATAGACTGGATTAAGAAAATATGGCACATATACACCATGGAATACTATACAGCCATAAAAAAGGATGAGTTCATGTCTTTTGTAGGGACATGGATGAAGCCGGAAACCATCATTCTGAGAAAACTATCGCAAGGACAGAAAACCAAACACTACATGCTCTCACTCATAGGTGGGAATTGAACAATGAGAACACTTGGACACAGGGTGGGGAACATCACACACCGGGGCCTGTCGTGGGGTGGGGGAAGGTGGGAGGGATAGCATTAGGAGATACACCTAATGTAAATGATGAGTTAATGGGTGCAGCACACCAACATGTGCTGTTGTACACGTGTACACATGTATACATATGTAACAAACCTGCACGTTGTACACATGTACCCTAGAACTTAAAGTATAATAATAATAAAAAAAAATTGTCTGCTTTGTACCCAGGGCTGTTCTAGATGCTTTCAGTGGATGGCCTCAATGAATTTCCGCAACCATCTTTCCAATGGGAAGTGTTGTCCCAGCTTTACTGCTGGACAAGTGTCTAAGAGGTTAAGGACATAAATGCTCAAGTTTTGTGAGAAAGCCGTTTATTTTAACAGAATGATTGCAATTGCTCATATTAAGCTATGACAGAAAAACTGGATTAACACTTTTTTTAGTCTTTTTCTTTTCAGCTTTTCAAGATAAAAGTTTCCTGTGTCTCCTGATTAAAGTGCTTCTGTGATTGTTGCTCTGCATTAAGTTGTATACTTCCTCGTTCTTTCCTTAGAGCTTCTTTTCACAATCCAGGAAGCAACTCGGTGGGGCACAGCATGGGGTAAACAAAATGCCAAGGGAGGGAAGAGTTCATATTGGTGGAATTTTTTAGTTACCTCTCTAGAAACTAGTGGAAACTTCTTTGCTTCTCTTCTTTTTACTGACAATTTAAAAAAATAAATTATTTTATTTTAGATTCTGGGGTACATGTGTCTGTTATATGCGCATGTTTTGTAGTGGTGGGGATTGGGCTTCTAGCGTACCCATTATCCAAATAGTGAGCATTGTACCTGATAGGTAACTTTTTCAATCCTTGCTCCCGTCCTACCCTCCTTCCTTTTGGAGTCCCCAGTGTCTATTCTTTCCATCTTTATGTCCATGTGTACCCATTGTTTAGCTCTCACTTATAAGTCAGAACATGTGGTATTTGGTTTTCTGTTTTCTGAGATCATTCTCTTAGGATAATGGCCTCCAGATCCATCCATGTTGCTGCAAAGGACAAGATTTCATTCTTTATGGCTGCTTTTAAGTCATTTTTTTTTCTTTTGTAGTGACTCACTTTTATCATTGTTAATTAGATTAAGTGGGTCTTTGGTTTAATTCTATTTTTAGGGTAATGTAAACCACAAGATTGCTTGTGTTCTGTGCTACTACACTTTTGTTCACTGCTGTATCTTCAGTGTCCAAGAGAAGCATTATACATATAGGTAGCAGGCACTCAATGGGTTTTAACAGAAAGACACATACACATACACACACACACACACACACACACACACACACACACACACACACACAGAAAGATAAAGAGAGAGCACGCACAAGTCAGTAACGGAAGGAAGCAAAGGAAAGGAGGGAGAAAGGCAGAAGGGGAGAGGAGCTGCTTGGTAAAGGTGCAGTAGGAAGTTTCACCTACAGCACTGGGTATTGTGGAAGTCAAGTGGAGGAAAGTTAACATCTACTGGAGGCTGTTGTGTGCCATTCACTGTTAAGCACTTTATAACTGTAATTTCATTAATCCTAAAACCAACCAAGCGAGCTGGTTATTATTGTTTCCCTTTTCACAGATGAGAAAATTGAGCTCACTGTTGTTAAGTGATTTACAGAAGGTCATACAGCTTACAAGTGGCACAGTCAAGATTTAAATTTTGTCTCTCTTTCTTATGACTTACATTTTAAATGAGTTGTTCATTTATTCATTCAGCAAATATTCATTGAACAATGTAGCACTCTTCCCTGATAATCTCAGAACCTGCAATCCTGTAGGCTAAAGATTCCCCTAAAGTATTCCTATAGGCTAAGTAATCTCCCAAAGTATTTCTTCAGTCAAAACCTCTCCTCTGAACTCCAGATGCATATACCTACATGCCTTTTTGACATTCCCACTAGGGCTTTTGTACATACCTCAAGCTAATATATACCAGTAAAATTTTAGATTATAGACCCAAACTTGTCTTTTCCTCAGTCTCCATTTTCTCTGCAAATTACATGTAACCATCAATCCTTTATAATCAGAAAATTGGGAGTCAGCCTCAACTCTAATTTTTTTAACTCTCTAATTTTATCTTCATGTTCTTAAAGCTTTACATGACCTGCACCTGCTTCTGTCTCTGACCCCATTTCCATTCTGCCTTATATCTGTTGGTCATGCTGGCAGTTTTGAAAGCTAGATCAAGTTCTTTCTCACAAAAGGATTTTGCACTTGCTATCATCTTTTTTAATACTTTCTGTATCTTTCCTCTCAGGTCTCAGCTGAAATGAAACCTCCTCAGAAAAATTTGTTCCTGACAAATTATAACTCAAAAATCAAAAATTTCTAAGGCCTTTGTTATTCTCTTTATCACAGCATTGTACTCATTTTCTTCTTAGTACTTAGAAACGTCTATAATTGTTTTACTTCTTTGTTTACCATTAAATGTCTGTATCCTTTATATACTGTAGGTCCTATGAGTTCATCAAATTTATCTAGTGTTTGTTTTTTGCTGTAAGCCTGTGGCTTGGCACTGGGCTTGGTACATAGAAGGTATTTGAGAAATATTGGTTTAATCAACAAATATTTTTCAGCGGAATGTCTTGAAGCCTATCTGTGTATTCAGAATGCTTGCTTTAAGGCACATAATTATATCCATTTTACAAACAGGAAGGTTTTTGTGTCTATCTCCAGCGTCTAGCAGGAGCTTTTTGCATAGTTGGTGTTCAATGACTATTCTATAAATGAATGATGATCAGAGAGGTTAGGTTGGTCCCCTACAGTATTGAGCTTAGGTTCTTTGGTACTCTGACCCTTTTACCTGCTATAGTGTGGGCATAAAGGGAAGCTTTGAGGAGGAGACTTTATATTCTTCTGTAATCTATAGCATTTCTTCCTTTCATCCTGGAAACCAATTCCAAGTAAATTCCAATCACAATCTATACATTTTTTTTTTTTTAGAGACAGGGTCCCACTCTGTTTTCTAGACTGGGGTGCAGTGACATGACCATAGCTCACTGTAGCCTCAAACTCCTGAGCGCAAGTGATCCTCCTGCCTCAGCCTCCTGAGTAGCTAGGACTACAGGTATGTGCCTTCATACCTGGCTGATTTTTTGTTTTGTTTTGTTTTTTCGTAGAGATGGGGACTCACTATGTTGCCCAGGCTGGTCTCGAATACCTGCCTTCAAGTAATCTTCCTGCCTTGACTTCTCAAAGTGTTGGGATTACTGGCATGGTCTACCCCACCTGACCCAAGTAAATTTACAATTTAAAGAAAAGTAGTCTGGGTGCAATGGCTCCCAGTAGTCTAGGAGGCTGAGACAGGAGGATTGCTTGAAGCCAGGAGTTAGGGACCAGCCTGGGCAACATAGCAAGACCCCCATTTCAAAAATAAATAAATAAATAGAATAAGGAAAAAAATGTGTTTGTTATGCAAACAGTCCAAGACAAAGAAGCCCCAGCTTCCAGCCAGTTCACTGATATCCCTTTATACAATGACATTCTATAGTTGCCTTTTTTTTTTCACTGCTCCTTGCAGAGCAGGGCTACCCTATGGGCAGTGTGCCCAGTGTAGTATGCAGTTGCTTTTTAAGATTGCATCACTTAAACTTCACAGTTAATTTAAGTATGCAAATTAACACAGTGCACTTGAAAAACTTTGTGATATAGTCATTCTTTTTTTTTTTTTTTTTTTTTTTGAGACTGAGTCTTGCTCTATTGCCCACGCTGGAGTGCAATAACGTGATCTTGGCTCACTGCAACCTCCACCTTGCGGGTTCAAGTGATTCTTGTGCCTCAGCCTCCTGAGTAGCTGGGATTACAGGCACATACCACCATGCCCAGCTAACTTTTTGTATTTTTAGTAGAGATGGGGTTTCACCATGTTGGCCAGGCTTGTCTTGAACTCCTGACCTCAAGTGATCCACCCACCTCCCAAAGTGTTGGGATTACAGGCGTGAGCCACCATGCCCGGCCTCATTTTTGTTTTAGTAGTCATCAGATATAAGATTACTCTACCTTAAAAGAACAAGTTAATGAGATGAACTCTATCAGCTTTTAAATAAGTCTGAGATAATTTGTACCACTTGGATTTTTGTATACATGTTCATTGCATTTAATAATTCGTCAGTAACTCCAGCATATAGCAGTGAACCAACATGAAAATAAATTATTTTTTGAAACACTAGGGCTATTTTGTGTTCATCTGGTTATTAAATGTTCTCATGTGATATTCTTGCAAATTGAATGTCATCTCCCTTGAGATTTTATAAGTGCTTGGTAAATATCTTCATAGTCTAAAACAGGGATTGGCAAACTGTGGCCTGAAGGCTAAATACAGTCTGTTTTTTGCATGGCTGCAAACTAAGAATAGTGTTTGCATTTTTAAATGGTTGAAAAAAAATCAAAAGAAGAATAACATCTCATAACACATGAAAATTCTATGAAATTCAAATTTGTGTCTGTAAATACAGTGTTGTTGAGACACAGCCGTGCTCATTTATGTATCGTCTGTGGCTGCTTTTGTGCTGTAACTCCACAGTTGCATAGCTGTGACAGAGACTGTAATGGCCTGCAAAGCCTAACATATTTACTCTCTTGTCCTTTATAGAAAATGTTTGCTGACCTGTGCTCTGAAATATCTCATATCAGCAACTGTCTGTATGTCCTCAGGTCCTACCCCTGTAGTGCAGTGGTTTTGCTACTGCCTTAGGGCTTTCTTCTGGGCTGAGCACCCTGCCTGTGTTCCCAGCAGGTGGGAAGGGTCCATGAATCAACACTTCTAGGGAGCAGCCCTCAAACCATGAGAGCCAATGGATAAATATGCCAGCTCTCTTGCCCCTAGGTTGGGCATGTTCTACACCAACTTCAAGTCTCCCACAGTGGTAACTGCTTTGATAAAACACACTTCACTGACTTCTCACTCTGCCAGTGTCTCCTTAGATCTCCCAAATCAACAACTTGCAGGGGAATCTTGGTTGCAGAATATGCTGCTAGGGGAAATCCAAACTAAGACAAATGTGGATTATTCTCATATATATTATTTATGGTGTCACTTTGATGTATAAGTTACTCAGGTGTGATGAAAAATTTATAATACCAAACATTTGGGCCATTTTTTTATTACTACTAATGGAAAGACAGATTTTATTAATTGATAGTTTTATTTTGTATGACATTTATTGGCCAAATTTATCCTGAAAAGTGCAGTTTGATAATTTTCTGATATTTTGAACATAAATGCCTATTTCAGGAGAGTGATTCTTGAAGTATTGAATTGATCTTTCATATTGCAAAGTCTTTCTTTCATCTTTTGTAAAATTTATATTTTCTTGTTTTATACTAATAAAGTTTTCTGCTACCTCCTCAGAAAACTTCTGTTCAAATTTTATTTTGCATCAATAATAGATGGAAGCAAACCTATCTAAGAGACAGCCAAGGTAATTTTTTTCATATGATGATTAGCAATAGGTTCAGGATGTTTAAAAATAAGTATTTCAGAATCTGTGGAAATGTTCATACTTTTTCTTTTTATATCCCTCATTTCCCCTGCCTAGTGGTTAAAATCAGTTAAATAGTGTTAGACTACACCTCTGCCATTTATCCTTTGTTCAAGACCTTTGTTCAAGGTATAGATGTCTATACCTTGAATATAACTTTAATATTACTACTTAAGTTACATCACATATTTTATCCATTTGCTTAGTGAACCTAATACTTGATGTCCCTTGACCATTACAAGGAGTAGAACAGATAATTTAAGAGATTTCATTAAAAAAAGACCCTGAGTAATAAAATATTTGATTTATTTTGGCCACATTAATGTTTTATTGTTTAAACAAATAAATAGACTGCCTCAAATTACTATCTGATTTCTAAGTTTTTACCTTTTTTTTTGTTGTATGGGGATATAGCATATTGTTTAAAAACTTTGGAGGACAGGTTCAGTGCCTCACACTTGTAATCCCAACACTTTGGGAGGCCAAGGGAGGCCAAGGTAGGAGGATCACTTGAACCCAGGAGTTCGAGACCAGCCTGAGAAACATAGTGAGACTCCTATCTCTACAAATAATAATAATAATAAAAAAAACCTTAGCCAGGTGTAGTGGTGCATGCCTGTAGTCCCAGCTATTCAGGAGGTTGGGGTGAGAGGATCACTTGAGCCTGGGAGGTTGAGGCTTCAGTGAGCCTTGATCGTGCCACTGCACTCCAGCTAGGGCAACAGAGTGAGATTCTGTCTCAAAAAAATAAAATAGTATAGTTGGATTGTAACACAAAGGATAAATACTTAAGGGGATGAATACCCCATTTTCCATGATGTGATTATTACTTTTTGCATGCCTATTAGTCTGTTCTCACATTGCTAATGAAGACATACCCAAGCCTGGGTAACTTATAAAGGAAAGAGGTTTAATTGACACACAGTTCCATATGGCTGGGGATGCCTCATAATCATAGCAGGAGGTGAATGAGGAGCAAAGTCATGTCTTACATGGTGGCAGGCAAGAGAGCTTGTGCAGGGGAACTCCCTTTTATAAAACCATCAGATCCCATGAGACTTATTTACTACCATGAGAACAGTATGGGGGAAACCACCCCCATGATTCAATTATCTCCACCTGGCCCCACGCTTGACATGTGAGAATTATTGCAATGTAAGGTGAGATTTGAGTGGGGACACACCAAAACCATATGACCTATATCAAAGTATCTCATTTACCCCATACATATATACACTTTTTATGTACCCACAAAAATAAAATAATAAAAACTTTGGAGACATCTTGTAATATGAAAAACATTGAATAACTGTATTTAAAATACTACCATTTGTGTAAAAAAGGATACACATATATTTGTATATGTATAGGATATATTTAGAATGATACACAGGAAACTAGCAGTAGTGCTTTTCTTTGAGAATGGGAACTGGGAGACTAGGGTCAGAGGTAGGAAGGAGCTATCCTTTTCACAGAGTATACTCTTTCACAATATTTGTATTTTTCTTCTGGCTATATGAAGGAAGTTAAAAATAAGTAAAGAAAGGAAGAAAGTAAGCAAGAAAGAAGATGACTGGCATTAGAGGGACTCAGGGTTGAACACCAGTTATGCTACTTACTAACTGTATGATTATAGTCACATTACTTAATCTCTCTGCTCTCACCTATAAAGTAGAGATAGTTGTATTTATTTCATATAATAGTTATCAAATAAAATTGTATACATATGTAAAAACACTTAGCATAGTGCTTGGCACATAGTTAAGTCTTCAGTAAATGGTTATGTGACCATATGAAATGATTAATACTTAAAGTAATCCTCTGCCCTGACTTCTACAGAGGGTAGATTCTTCATTTGTTGATCTGTTCCACAAACGTTTTCCAGTATCCTGTCACTGATAGGCATAATAATTGGCCCAGGAAGTCACACTGCTTCACTTTTGCCATAACATAGTTGGTCAAAACAGTCACAAGACTCAAGGGGAGGGGAAGTAGCCTCCACCTCTCACTGAGGAGACTAGCAAAAAATTGGCATTCATCTTTAATTTACCAGAGCCTTCCTTCTGTTTGCAAATTATTTACATCTCTCCCACATGCAAAATATACTCACCTCCCTTCTAAGGTCCTTTGAAATACCAATTTATTATAGCATCAGCTCGAAATCCAGGACCTCCTCATTTGAATCATATCCAGATGTGGATGAGGCTTCTCATGTGTTGTTCCTTGGATACAGCTCCTAAATTCAGTTCTAGTTGTTCTGAACATGTGTACATTAAAGAGGCAGATTATCTGTCCCTCTCCCACATTGTCACTCCTCCCCATGCCCACTCCCTGCACATAGCCTGCTAGGACAGAGATAGGAGAGTCACAACAGATGTTCCCATTTGAAGCCCGGCATGGTGGCATGGATCTGTAGTTCCAGCTTCTTAGGAGGCTGATGTAGGAGGATCATTTGAAGCCAGGAATTTGAGGATATAGTGTGTGCTATGATTGCACTTGTGAATAGCCACTGCCCTCCAGCCTGAGCATTGTAGTGAGCTCCCTCCTCTTAAAAAAATTTAAAAAGGAATTTCCATTTAAAAGGAGGACAACAGAAGGCTTATAGCAGTTAGTTATTATGACAGGAAGAAAAAGCCTCTTCAAAAACGTCCAGTCCTAACCCACAGAACCTGTGAATATGTTACCTTACACGGCAAAAGGGGCTTTGCAGATGTGATTCAGTTTAAGGGCTTGAGATGGAAAGAGTATTCTTGTTTGTCTGTGGGCCAAATCTAATCACCTGACTCTGTGAAAATGGAAGAGGAAGACAGCACGGTGAGCCAGACAGAGGCTGCTGCTGGCTTTGAAGATGGAAAAAGGAGTCTGTAAGTTAAGGAATATCATGACATCTAGAGGCTGAAAATTACCCTCATTTTACAGTTAGCAAGAAAATGGGGAGCTCAATGCTATAATCTCAAGATACTGAATTCTGCCAATAATCAGAATGAGCAGGAAATGACTTCTCTCTTAGAGCCTCCAGAAAGGCAGCCCTGCCAACACCTTGATTTTAGTCTGGTAAAAAATGTATATAACTTCTAATCTAGAGAATGATAAGATAAAGAACATATGATGTCTTACTCCCCTGAGTTTGTGGTAATTTGGTATGGCAGCAGTTGAACTCCAGCTGGGCACAGGTTGCCAATTCCATGATCAGGTCCCAGTTCTGGCCCCTGCGTATGTTTCTGTGCTTTGGGTTCTATCCTCTGGGCTCCTTAGTTCTATCCCCTGGATCATCCTTCCTTTGGTTTACCATGCTCCATGTAGGTAGTTGCATAGATTTCTCAACTTGCTTTCTATCCTTTGTAGAACATGGGTGGCCTATGGGCTCTTCTTTTTAACTTTCTTGTCTCCTTTAGTCTAAGCCAATGGTGCTTTTTTTTAGTACAATTTTCTTAAAAGCTTTGTGGGTTTTCTATAAATCTTGTTGGGGTTTACTCTGTTAGATAATGCCACACCCTCAAATCTCTTCAAGAGCAGTTCCTCTTCAGCTTGGGCTGACAGTCAAGATACTGTGAGACAAAGCCACTACTAGACATAGAAGTCTGTTTGTCTAATGGAGAGGGTCAACAGAAAGTCTTATAGCCACATCCTTAAAATAAGTAATCTTTATCCTTAAAATAAGTAAACTTTATCCTGAAGCTGCTTCTTATTTTGAGAGCCTTTTGTCCTCTGGAGAGGCTGGGAATGAGAAAGAGTTTTATTTTCAAACCTAGCATGTGCTGGTTCCTTTATCATTCCCCTGAATTTTGCTTAAAAACAGAATAGTTCCTTTCTCAGTTCATCTTTCTGTATTCATATCTTATCATACTTGGCTAAAAGAAACTAGTTAGCACTTTTTAACATTTTGCCTAACAAATCTTGGCCAAATCTACCTCTTTATTAGGAATATTTTCTATTTTCCATGTTTTCATAGGTGACAGTGTTGCAAACTTGCTGCTTCTGCATAACATGTCACCTTTTTCTAACCTCCAATAACAATTTCATTTCCAGTCTTGGCCAAACTCTTTGAGGCCTGTCCAGAATTTACTAACGCTCTCCTTAAGGGCTTTCCAGCTTTTGCTAATGGTCACTTTAAGGGCCTATATGTTTTTGACCCCATCTGGTCCTAAAGTCCATGCCGTATGTTTTAGGTTTTGTTGTGAAAGCACCCCCACTTCCAAGTACCAAGTTCTGGTCCAGTTAGCTACTGCTGCCTGACAAACTAACCGAAACCTCAGTGGCTTGAAACAATGACCCTTATATTATAGCTTGCATTTTGAGGATCAAAATCTTGGACAGGGCTCAGCTGGATGATTATTCTGTTTTATATAACATTGCAGGCCGGGTGTGGTGGCTCATGCCTGTAATCCCAGCACTTTGGGAGGCCGAGGTGGGCAGATCACAAGGTCAGGAGATCGAGACCATCCTGGCTAACATGGTTAAACCCCATCTTTACTAAAAATACAAAAACTTAGCCAGGCATGGTGGCGGGCACCTGTAGTCCCAGCTACTCGGTAGGCTGAGGCAGGAGAATGGCGTGAACCTGGGAGGCGGAGCTTGCAGTGAGCCAAGATCATGTCACTGCACTCCGGCCTGGGTGACAGAATGAGACTCTTGTCTCAAAAAACAAAACAAAACAAAACGAAAAAATTGCAGAAGTCTCTCAATGCTGCTCTATAAATGGTCTGGTCTCTGAGGCCCACATTTACTTCACAACATGTCTGAGGCCTTAGCTGGGTTGGCTAGGAGGCAGTACATAGCTGGTATAGTCTACCTAAGTGAGTGTACCTCACCTGTCCTGCGTGGAAGCCCTAGGGTAGCTGAACTTACTACATGGAGGTTCAGGGCTTGAAGAGCAAGTGTTTCAGTTATTAAGGAAGCTGCATGGCCTTTTGTGACCTACCCTCCAATGCCATGTAGCATCACGTATGCCATACACTATTGATTAAACAGTCATAGTAGTCTCAGATTCAAGTGGAGGGACATCAACTCTTCCTCTCAGACAGAGCAACAAAGAATGTATAGCCATCTTTAATCTACCACAGACATACTTTTCAATGTTTTCCAGGTATTATTACATTGCTAAGAAATCCTTGAGCCTCTTACAGGGAACTAGATTAATTTGTGTCATGTCAGCAAACAAAACAGCAAATTCTTTTGGAGATTCATCCATAGATGGTTGAGGGCAGGCCTCCTCCCATGGACCTATGAATTAGCAGTTATGGAAGGGAAGGAAGGATACTCATGGAATTAGAGAACAGTTTTAAGAGCATGAACTGTTAGTCACCCTGCCTAAGTCCCTATCTGGCTCTTCCATTTTCTCTGTGTGACCAGGAGCAAATGAATGACTTTTAAAATTTTTAGCCTCAGTTTACTCTTGTCTACAGATAATAATAGTAACAATAAAAATAATAAAGCCCTTATAGGATTGCCTGAACATTTCAGTTAATATACACAAAGCAGTGTTTTTAATATTCAGCTGAGACTCACAGTAAGAAACATATTTTACAATATATATGCGTGCTAAATGAAACAGAAGTATCACAAAATAACCCTTATGCTTGCTAAGTATGATAGTGATATACTCTGATATTTTCTAATATATTCTATTTTAAAAATGTATGTTGGTAAGACCCATACTACCTTGTTTTCCCAACTGACCAATAGGTCATAATTGCAGTTTGTTAGAAATTTATGTAAATGAGTTTTTCAATGTTGATTACGTGGATCCATTGCATCTTTATGTAAGGCCATTCATAAATAAGTGATGCTGGGGCTGAGTCTAAAGATTAGTAAACACGCCTTTATGGCCATAGCTTTCAGTCAGCTTGGACCTCAATTTTAAAACAATTATTTATCATTTTGTGACTTTAAAAATTCTATCAGTATTCTACTTTTACTTCTAATATTTAAAAAGACTCAGCTAAAAAGACTTTAAACAACTTTATTTTGGAAGAAAAACGTATCTCCTTTCCATAAATGGAAAAGCAACACATGCCATAATTGTAAAATACCTGCTAAATATCTAATGAGACAATTATTAAATTCTCATTTGATACTCTGAGCCCAAGGCTGGCTCTCTCATTCAAAAGCACTATTAGTAAGTCGTGAAGATGTTCTGCAGGGACACTGGCACTGTCATCTCCTTGTGACTAGAAGAGAAAGAGAATTGAAGAGGGATTTCTTTCTCACTAGCCCCACACGTACCAGCATATGATGGATCCCACTTTGGGACACTCCTCATAGCATTTGGGCCTAGCCTACCTATGAGCTTCATTATTATAGTCAAATCAGATGGTTCATTATTTCTGGAATGACTCCTTTTCTCAACTTGGGTACTTTGTACAGTTTTTCCCTTTGAATTCAATCATAGGAAATTAAAGTGCTTTCTTTTGCCCTGTCTAAAATGTATTTGTGTCTGCCAGCTGATTATAAACACACTGTAAAACAACTATTCTTAGCTTTGAACACACTTTGGAATTACTTGGGACCTTTAAAAGCACTGATACCTGCGTCTTTTTTTTTTTTTTTGAGATGGAGTTTTGCTCTGTCGCCCAGGCTGGAGTGCAGTGGCGCGATCTCGGCTCACTGCAAGCTCCGCCTCCTGGGTTCATTCCATTCTCCTGCCTCAGCCTCCCGAGTATCTGGGACTACAGGCGCCCACCACCACACCTGGCTTAATTTTTTTTTTTTTTTGTATTTTTAGTAGAGACGGGGTTTCACTGTGTTAGGCAGGATGGTCTTGATCTCCTGACCTCGTGATCCGCCTGCCTTGGCCTCCCAAAGTGCTGGGATTACAGGCTTAAGCCACTGCGCCGGGCCTGCCTGCCTGGATCTTAAACAGAAATTCTTATTAATTTGTTTGAGGTGTGATCTGGAGAGTAGGAATTTTAAAAGCTCCCCAGGTGATTTTAATATGCATCCACGATTGCGAGTAGCTGACTTTAAGTAACATTTTACTATTGTCTATAATCAAAGAGAGTTTCAAAACATTTATCTTGTCTTGAACTCCTAAACATTTTTTTTCCAAAAGGAATTTTTTAAAGGACCAAATGCATGATAAAGAAGTATTTTTAGGTCTCTGTATTTCAGTAAACTATAAAATTTAGCGTAAGAAATGCCTATAGAGCTTTTTAATTTTATAAAATCAAAGGATAAAATCAGAAACTTCATAGCCATCATAAGAATAGTGTGAATGGATGCTTTCAATTAGTTCTATGGAAATATTGTTTTTATTTATTTTATTTATTTTGTGGTTGCCCAGGCTGGAGTGCAATGGCATGATCTTGGCTCCTGCAACCTCCACCTCCCGGGTTCAAGCGATTCTCCTGTCTCAGCCTTCCGAGTAGCTGGGATTACAGGTGCACACCATCAGGCCTGGCTAATTTTTGTATTTTTAGTAGAGAAGGGGTTTCACCATGTTGGTCAGGCTGGTCTCGAACTCCTGGCCTCGTGATCCACCCACCTTGGCCTCCCGAAGTGCTGGGATTATAGGGGTGAGCCACCGCAGCTTGCTATTTTGTGGTTTTAAAATCTAGCTTCAATATTATGCACTTTGGGAACTATTATCAGTTCTTTAGTAAACTGTGTAGTTTATGATAGAACATAAAATTTTATAAGAATAAAATAACATGAAGGTACAACTTCCCCTACAGCCTGCAAATGAACACGTGTGCAACTGCCTACATTGCTACATGTAGCTTTAAATGTAGGATACTCTGATTCATTACTGTGTCCCCCACCCAAAATCTCATCTTGAATTGTAATCTGCATAATCCCCAAATTCCCATGTGTCAAGGGAGAGACCAGGTAGAGGTAATTGAATCGTGGGGGCAGTTTCCCCCATGCTGTTCTTGTGATAGTGAGTGAGTTCTCACAAGATCTGATGGTTTTGTAGGTGTTTGGTAGTTCCTCCTGCATTATTTCTTCTTCCTGCTGCCTTGTGAAGAAGGTGTCTTGCTTCCCCTTGGCCTTCCGGCATGATTGTAAGTTTCTTGAGACCATCCCAGTCATGCTGAACCATGAGTCAATTAAACCTCTGAATATTACACAGTCTTGGGCAGTTCTTTACAGCAGTGTAAAATGGACTAATACAATTACATTCACTCTTTCTGAGCAATGTCTTTTTAAAACTGGTTTTGGTTTATGTAAGAAGGAGTGCTTTTCTTGTTCAGCACCTGGGTATGAATTTAATTATTGAAAATAAATATGATCTAATGTTTCATTGAGCTTTATGAATAATCGGGTAATTTGGTTAGCACTGTTACCTAAAAAGGCCTGGAAGAAAGCAGAATCACAAAATCCAATGGCTCTGGTGAGGAGGAAATTAGTGGCATATTCATGTGATTTACTCTATATAGAATATAATTAAAAGTAGTTGTAGATTTGTGTGTTACTCTAAATGCTTCTGTATTTTGTGACTTGGTTCAGAGAAATGTTATAAAAAGAAAATAGTTACTGATGTATGTTCTACATTTAAAATGTGGTTTCAAAACTAAAGGGTGTGTAGGAGTGGCTTCCTGTAATGTGCCCACTCACCAGCCAGCTTGTTTTGAAGGTGTAAGACCAGAGAACATATTGTGATGTAAACCTGTCCTTGGCTCTGAAAATATGTAGGCACCACAGAGAAATAGGTTGGAATTGTATAGAACCCAAAACTAGTTACATATAAAAGAAACTTAATGAGAGGTTTTCTCAAATTGGCAAACAACCCTAAAAGTTTACTTGATATTACAAGTAAACTAAAAGATGAAACTAAAAGAAAGTTTTAGAATCTATCAGTAATAAAAAAAGAAAAATCTGTCAACCAGACTAAAAGGAAGATTGGATTACTATTCTATTTTCTTTCTAGACAATATGACCAAATTATTGCCATTTGAAAAGGTGATCAAAGAATATGTAAATAAAAAAGGTAGAAAAATGTATTAAAAAGGTATGTCATATATGTCAGCTTTTAGAAATTAGCAATTCGTTATTTCTTTTTTTCACACTAAATCAACATTCACTTTTATCCCCAATTTTTTTTATTTATAACTTTACATTCCACACAAATGTGGACCTTCCCCTGCCATTCTCATGGAAGCAGTTCACCTTACTGCACCGACTTTTAAAAATCTCCTCCCAGATTATAACTTCTTATGCCATCTAGTTTCTTCATTTCTGTCTTTAAATCTGTGATTCTGCTGATAACTGATCATATCACAGCTAAATGTCTAGGTCTATGCTATTTGCTGCTGAGTTTTTCATTCCTAGCATATGAGTCCCTAACATGTGAATGGCTATTTATGTTCTAATTTTCTAGAGCTGCCGTATTTTAAGAGTTGTTGTAGAGAGACTAGCCCTTAACCTTCTCTTATGGTTATTAGTGATGGGAATTTGGGGGGCAGTGTTAACTGTTACATAAATGAAAAAAGCACCATAGAGGTTTTTAGCATCTCCTGAGTTACAGCTATTTTATTTTCCTGTACCTTTCTATTTGGGAACTAATTTGTTGAACCAAAATTGATTGATCCAGAACACTGAAGTGGAGATATTCATAAATAGAGATGAAGGAGGGGGAAAAGGGAATGAAAAAGGGAGATTTTGATTTGTAGATATGTAGTTGGGTGAAATAAGTATTAGTTCTGTAGCTGGTAGTGGGGATACCTGCACACTTCCTTAGGTATAGGACATTATAATAAGGCTTCCCTGCTGACCCCACTAGTTAACTTATTTTGGGAGGTGATTTACTTTATTGGAGTGTAAAAGGTCATTCCTACTACTTGCTAATTAAGGCAGCAACCTGGCAGCATGAATGATGCCAGTTTTATGAATGATCAAATCAGTTTGTATTGTGGCTGATAAAGCTTTGGAAAACTATTGTAGCAGTTCGTCAATGCGATAAAAAAAGCAGAAACCACAAGTAAAAATCTTCCAGATATTAGAGAAAAAAGTAATGAAATTTAATTGTTCAGATTGAAGGAGAATGGAAAAGTAAATGAAAACTGTATTGATGTTTTAAAATTTAAGTAGAAAAAGGGTTATGTTAACTCAGTGATTTAATTCTATTATCTGGCTCTAGATGATTTTTAAAATTGTGAATGATTGGTGAATGAGCGAATACATTTATTATAAACTTGATGCTAACAATGTGACAGTGGTATAAATAATAAATGCAGAATAAGATTTCCATAGTGGAAAATCACTGTTTTGGCACAGACAGAACTTCTTTCCATATTACTTGCCCAGGGTTAGAGAAACATTACTATTAAAAACGATTTTAAAATTCTTTTACCAAGTTATGATGTTAAGTCATATTGGTGATGAGGTAGCTTCTCTCTGTAGCAACCATCTGGTTTTGGGTTGTGATAGTTCAATAGGGTAAAGGTATCATTGCAAAACTCCTGTACTCAGTCACTCTCCACCTCCACGTTAGCTGTGTGCCATAGTGCATGCAGGTACAAACTCCGAACTGCATTTCAAATTTTCCATATCCTGTTTTCTCTTGCCCTTAATTTTCCTTGTAGGTTCTGGTGGATGTGTTGCCAAAGTTTGTTCATACATTAGCATCTGTTCTTTGACCTTCCTCATCTGTGAAATAGTGTTGTTACATACCTACATTGGATAGATGTAATGGAGAATTTTATTTTGCAAGGCATTTTCAAATATTTTTTTCTCATGGAGTCGAAAAGTAGAATATTAACTCATTTATTAGGAGACTATCATGGGAGAAATGTGGCTGTACAAAATAATATGTGTATTACTAAGGTGTTTTTGGCTGCAGAACTGACACTGTCTCTAGTGAGTTTAGGCCAAAAAAGGGAATGAATTAGAAGTATGCTCCACAGGTTTAAAAGCAGAGGGAGAGTTGAAAATTCAAGGCCTTGGGAAGGTCAACAAACAGGGTCCTAAGGGATCTGTACGGTGATCAGTCATGGAAAGTCTCTGTAGGGCACTAGCCTTCAAATGCCTCAGCTCAAGTTCCTTCTGTCCTATGTGACTCTACTCAGATTTCAGATTCTAAGACAGAGGCTGATTGCAAGCTTGGGCTGGGAGTCTTCTCCAGGGCCAATGTGCTCACCTTTTGTTTGGAAGACCCATCCTGACTTAAATAAAAGCTCATGGGAAGAGCAAGGTACTATTACCATAATACAGTGAAGAGGGTGTAGGGCCAAATAACAGATATCCATTACAAGTCCACTGGAGCACACTGCCAGTTCTTAAACCTCAAAAGAATCCGGAAGTAGGATAAAATAATTTATCTACTTTATGATGATAGTTTTCTAGTGTTGCCATTACAGGTACCACAGACTGGTGGCTTAAACAATTGAAATTTATTTTCTTTACAATTCTAGAGGCTAGAATTCCAAGATCAAGGTGTGAGTAGGGTTGGTTTCTTCTAAGGCCTCTCTCCTTACCTTGTAGATGGCCATGGTTCTCTGGTGTCTTCACATGTCTTTCCTCTATGTATCTGTGTCGTAATCTCTCCTTATAAGAACACCAGTCATACTGGATGAAGGCTCACCCATATGGCCTTATTTTACCTTAATTACCACTTTAAAGGCTCTATATCCAAATAGTCACATTCTGAGGTAGTGGGGGTTGGGATTTAAAAAAATAAATTTTGGGTGGGGATACAATTCAGGTCATAACAACTACCTAGTAAGTTGTTGTAGGTTCAGTTGGCTAGCCTAGTAAGTCTTTAGCCAACGACAGTTAATAAATATTGTTATATAGCTCAGGCATTTATGTTGAGGACTAGGTACGTGATACTTCACAGAGTACTCTGATCCAAAGATGGCTATGTATGGTTTGTCTTTTTAGGAAGCATACTAATATATAACATAAACATATGTATGTATGTGTGCCGTATGTCTAGCTGTATATATTTACATTTGTAGCACTTGATAATAACATTACCTAACCTCAGAAGACAAACATCAGTTCCTGCTTTGGCAAACTGCAGCCTCTCTTTTGTTCTCAGAGAATTTATAATCTTGTATCTATCCTTCACAATACTTACTGTTTAAGTCTATTTCTACAAATGGCCCAGAGGTGACAGCAACTCAAGCGAACCAAGAGTGAAACTTAAAGTAGGAATTATTCTGTGTTTTATCTTTCGTTATCTTCTTTTAAGGATGTTTTTCATAGATTGTCATATTTCTTGTTGAATTTTTTTTAGGAGAGGGAGAGTTTGGTTTAAATAAGGCCACATATTTGCTTAGGGAAACCTCTGGTGTATAGGATTTTGTTTCTTAGATTTTTGACATTCAGCAAGTTATTTTTCTGTGTATTAAAAACTTTATCTTTACCAGTCAGGTGTGGTGGCTCATACCTCTAATTCTGGGGCTTTGGGAGGCTGAGCAGAAGGATCATTTGAAGCTAAGAGTGTGAGACCGGCCTGGACAATATAGTGAGAGCCCTATCTCCACCAAGAAACAAAGAAACAAACTTTATCTTTATAAACACTTGCACGTAATACATGAAAACATGCTTATTGTAAAAATTCAAACAATGTACAGCAAAAAGTCACGGAAGAAACACAGAGGAGAAAGTCAACACTTCTCTTCATGTTTTCTCTCTTTAACTCCATTTGTCCCCTTCTCCTCTCTAATGACAGGCATAATTCAAGAGTGTGGTTTGTGTGTTTTCAAAATCACTGAAGCATATACCTAGAATTTGGGAACATATTTATTTAGATAGAGATAGAATTATAATGTAATTCTCTAATGTAATTCTTAGAACATTGTTCTAAGACTTTTCTTTCCTCCCTTAAATATATTTGTAGTTTTGTTGGTTGGAATTTTAATACTAAATCCTACTGCTGACCCGCCTTTTCTCCAGGACTCTTGAATAAGAAACAACAGCCCAATAGAGGGCAAAGTACAAGTAATAATTTCTAAAACAGAATTGCTAAGCAGCTGTCCCATATCTTTAAATCAGATTTACCTCAGAAGACACCTGTATAAAAGGAAGAGGTCCCTATGAAGTGGTGATGGTCCATGAGGAAGAGGCCTGGAAATCTAAGCAGGGCTTCCAGCTCCCTGCTTCCTGTCTAAGTCCAGGTACTTACCCCACCTATAGGTGAGCATGGCAACCTGCCTCAGAGGCTAGACTTTGCTCTGTGAACTGACAGTGTAGGAATAGACAGCAACAGAGTAGATGAAACCTACTCTTGCCTTTAAGAAATAGTAACTGTGGTCAGGCACAGTGGCTTATACCTTTAATCCCAGCATTTTGGGAGGCCGAGGCAGGTGGATTGCTTGAGGCCAGGAGTTTGAGACCAGCCTAGCCAACATGGCGAAACCCTGTCTCTACTAAAAAAAAAAAAAATACAAAAATTAGCTGGGTGTGGTAGTGCATGCCTGTAAGTCTAGTTACTCAGGAGGCTGAGGCATGAGAACCGATTGAACCTGAGAGGCAGAGGTTGCAGTGAGCTTGTTGACAGAGCGAGATTTTGTCTCAAAAAAAAAAAAAAAGTACCTCCGCCACTAGTAAGATTTCATTCAAGAATGAGGCTGATGTTAGCAATTCTTCCTCCCATAGCAGGCAGAAGAGTAGCTAGAACATGGGTGGACACATGGCTGGGAAGCATAGGTGGTATTAAGTCCTCCCCCAGAGGCTGATATAGAAATACAAGGCAGAGGATAGAAATTTCTTCTCCAGCAAACATATCTTGGAGATTTTACCATTTCAATACATAGAGATCTAAATCATTTAAAAGTGTCTTATTATTTTATAACTTACATTTATGTAGGATTTGAGTTTTACAGACTCCTTCATAATTTTCCCTTCATTTCACTCTCACAGCACCTCTGCAATAGGTCTTGTTTTATAGATGTAGGAGTAAAACCTTTACATGGACAAGGGATTTGTCTGTGAATTCAAGATCTATGGATTCTTGGTTCAGTTTTCTTTCCATAATAACATAACTGTTTTTTGTTAAATGCAGTTTATATTTAAATGAGATAGAAATAGTTAGCTACTGTTAAAGTTCTTAAGAACTGCTTTTCTGAAAGTCCTGATTTCAGCTGTCTAATGTAAATCTGATTCAAGTATTTATTGAAAACTACCATTGACATGTTTATTTTGTATTCATTTTTAGTTTCATATTTTGATTCCCAGTATCTGAACCTATTCCTATGTTGGAGATAATTCCCTCCTTATTAATGTTGTTGGGGGTAGCATTTGCTTGTCATCATAAAGCCAAAACAGACACTCATCTTTCCAGCCTCCCTTGTAGCTAAGATGGGTGTACATGATCTAGGCTCTGCTAATCTTTTGCACTCACCTTAGACTTTGACTTGGTAGCTAGTGGCCTAAGAAGTAGGGGTGGAAAAGCTCTCTGGTGGCAGGTGGTTGCCATGAAAGTATCAATATTTGGTCTCCAGGGGAAATAGGGAAATGGGGGTAATGAGCCCCAAGGGCAGCTTCTCACATTCCATGCCCTGGTTGGTGGTGGTGGTGGTGCAATCCCTGGCACCCAGTGTCCAACAGCCTGGCCTTCTTTATTTCTGCTCAATTTCTAGGCCTAATTCTCCAAATATCACAGTGATTATGTGAGCTCTTTAGTAGCCTTTCATTTTAAAAATATACATACAATAAATTCACTCTATGAGATATGCAGTTCTAAGAACTTTAACATTGTATAAAGTCGTGTACCCACCACTGTCATGATATAGAACAGTTCTATTATGTCTCAAATTCTCTCATGCTGAACCTTTGTAGTCAACTCTCATCCACCCCAATCCCTGATCTGTTTTCTATCCCTATATTTTTACATTTTCCAGAATCATAGAATATTACCCAATAATTTCTTAATAACATGTTATTGTAATATTAACATTTTAAATAAATATTAATACATTTGTTTTCTGCTTAATAGCTAAGATTTATTGGATATTTTAACATTTGCTCTATTCTGTTCTTACTAAGTGCCTTACATGAATAAACTTACTTTACCCTCACTAGAGTTCTAATAGGTGGATCCTCTAATTATTCCCTTCTTATATATGAGAATGCTATGGCACAGGAAGGGTTAAGGAACCCATCCAAGGTCACAAGCTGGTAAGTGGCAGTCAAGACCCAGGCAGCTTGATGCCAGATGCAAGATTTTAACCACTATCTATACCAGCTTATAAATCAGCTGAATTGGTTTTTGTTGCTTGCAATTGTGAGTGATAGGATTAAATGATAGTGTTGAATGAGAAGATCAGTAAGCAAAAAGTGATAGTGTTGAATGAGAAGATCAGTAAGCAAAAAGACTCAAAAAGTAAGCAAAAAAGGATTAGTAAGCAAAAAGACTCAAGGTCCACACTCACGGAGAGTATGATTGAGTTGAGGAGACAGATATTATTCAAATAATTTTATCAGTGAATATAATTACAAATGTAGGTAAGTGAAGGAAAGGATCATAATCTTTAGTGTTCATCAGAAAGGAACCTGACCTGGACTAGGGGTTATTGAAAGCTTTTCTGAGAAAGTGATACTTTGACAGTGATGTGAATGAATGAACTAGGTCAAGAGTGTTTGTAGACCTATGGCACATGCAACTGGAGTCTTCCGGGGGAATCCATGGGTGCCAGGACCCTGAGACAGGAGGCAAGATGCCCACTCTAATTGATGTGTGGATGATGAGGAGGGGCCCCACTGCTAGCTGAAGTAGATGAAGCTAGGGAGTTAAGCAGGTGACCAACTCATGCAGGGCCTTGAAAGGACACATCAAGTACTCATGAGGCTTTCCTCTCTCTGGCTCTACTCACCTACACAAGGCAAGAAAATAAAACAGAGGACAGTGTGCATAGTCCTTGGTTTTGTTTTCTCATGGGCCAGGACTCATAATGGGAAGGGAATAAGTGCAGGATCTTCTGTATAGATGATTCCTGGAAGGTATTCCTAGACTACATGCTATACCTCAAGAGGTTTCAGGGAATGTAACGGGATCCATGTGATATGCACCAGAGCACTATGGGGTGTGAAGTTGTTTAAGAATTTCCACACTTCGCATCTGTAAGCTGCAAGGAGTGCAATACCTTGTATTTGGTGTCCTTGAGTGATTGGTAAGTATCTCAATAAGCACAATAAAATTAGTAAATAGATACCATCTTTCCTCTCTGTAGGCTTCATAGACCAAGACATCAACGAACCATGGCAATTTAAAAGTGCAGCATAATTTTACAAGTAAGGGCACCAAACACAAAAGTGCAGGTTAATGTGACCAAGGTTGCACAAATAATTAATGGAAAGAATACAACTAATTCTTGTATTTTCTGACCCCCAAACGACTTGATGAATATTTTGACACACATATTTCTAAAACAGATTGACAAAATTTTTTGTTTAAATGACTTATTAACACCAGCCAGTGCATTGCTATTTGATAGAAAGAAACTTTAGACATCCAAGAAACACAAAATTGAATTTTTCCTAGATACTACACATGTATTTTCAGTAAACTAATTTAAAAATCAGTAACAGAGGCCTGTGATAAAATATTTTTAACTTTTTTTCATAATTTCACATTTGACTAATCTTTTATAACATCTAAGTGTATGGGCATTAAGTTAGTGCTGAGAGGAAAACTTTCACAACTCTATGAACTCAACAGGCTTTGAGAAAATAAGTTAATATTCTGAAGCACATTAATTAATACTTTTGACTACCCTGACCAGTTAAAGATCCTTGGAGACATATACCCCAATTTCAAATCCAATTAAAATGATATCCATTACTAAATTAACCCATGTACACTCAAATCTTGATATAAAATGACATAGTCTCAAGACACTGATTAATTAATCAAACATGCAAAAATATTTCAAGAAAATTATTAATCCACCTGTTTCGATGTTATATCTCAAAGGTCTTCAAGCTCCTCATATATTAGAAGTATTATATACTACATTCATTCTTCTTCACTTCATTTAAAAGATAACACTGAAAAATATTTCACCATATGCTCGTTTAAATGCAGTGATAAATATGTTCTTTTCAAAGCATATGGTGATATTATTAGGTGTCTCTGAATATAGCAAGGTTGAAATGAGACAATCTGAACTAAATGGAAATTATTTGCTGCTCTCATGTCCATACATCAGTATCATCTCTGGATTATTATTGTTTTAATAAAGAAAAACTAACCACTTGAAGATTAGAAACATCTGTTGTCACCTACCATAGCTATAGTGGGTAGAATTCCAGGACTACTTTTCCTTTGACTGTGTAAGCCTACTTGACTCATTTTCCCAGACTCTGGCACTGAGAACTTTTGCTATCAATTAATCACTGTTGACATTTGTGTAATGCTCCATAGCAAGGAGTCTACTTTCATATGTGGCTTAGCCACCTTGCTTCATGCCACGCCATGGGATTGTCTTCTACTAATGGTGAGGGGCCTTGAGATTCTTCTCCAATAAAAGAGTTTGTTTCCAACATTTCTTCCTGTTCTGATGTACTCAATCTTTGAGGAAAAGAAAAAACTTGTAGATTCTATGTGGAATGATGATAAAGACTGATTATTTGTTATGAGAAATATAAATCTAAAAATTAATGTATTGAAATCTGGGAAAAGAGAGGTTTGGTCATGATATTCTATACAATTTTTTCTTCATTTATTCAATGAATTAGAATGTATACACATTTAATAGTGTATTAAGGACTTCTCACATTTTAAATAAGTTCATGAGTATATTTGAATAATAAACCTTTCATTTTATAACATCAGTGCCTTATAGTTCATTGATAGCCATAGTCTGGATTTTACTTTATTTTTCTTTAAAGTGTCTGACTGGAATGGATAATATATATTTATCTTAGGCATATGTTGTTTTCAGCCAGCTTCATTGCTATCTGATATGGTAAGTTGCACTAATCTTAAGTCCTATTTTTATGTCAAAGTGAGTATTCTTGGTTTTGGTTAACAAGTACAACTGTCGGCAAACAAATGTGGATTGTACAGCAGTATATATAGAAGGTAGATACTATTAAGAGTGATGACTCATGATTATTCAATGGATTATTTGCCTTGCCTTTCTTGTCATGTTTTCTGCTGGCAAATATATTGAATAAATGAATGATTTTCTCTAGCTTTTTCCAGCACAGTTACCTTCTAATCAACTTGCTTTTGTTTTCACCTTTTTTTCTAGGGGAATAGTACTTCCTGCAGTGAAATGCTGTAATGATCCAAATCCTATCCCCTAGTGCAATGGTTTGCAAACTTTCCTGTGAATCATAATCACCTAGAAGCTTGTTAAGATACAGATTGCTAGCCCTCATCCCCAGAGTTTTGGATTGACTAGGTCAGGAATGGGGCTGGATAATTTGCATGTCAAATGAGTTGTCAGGTGATGATGATGTTACTGGCCTGGAAACCACATCTTTTTTTTTTTTTTTTTTTTTTTTTGAGATGGAATCTTGCTCTGTCACCCAGGCTGGAGTGCAGTGGTGGGATCTCAGCTCACTGCAAGCTCTGCCTCCCAGGCTCAAGCCATTCTCCTGCCTCAGCCTTCCGAGTAGCTGAGAATACAGGTGCCTGCCACCATGCCCGGCTAATTTTTTGTGTTTTTAGTAGAGACAGGGTTTCACCATGTTAGCCAGGATGGTCTCAATCTCCTGACCTCGTGATCCACCCTCCTCAGCCTCCCAAAGTGCTGGGATTACAGGTGTGAGCCACCACGCCTGGCCTTTTTTTTTTTTTTTAATTTAAAAAAAGGACAGGGACTCACTCTGTTGCCCAGGCTGGAGTGCAGTGGGTAATAACAGCTTACTGCAGCCTCAACCTCCCAGGCTCAGGTGATCCTCCCATCTCAGCCTCCTGAGTAAGTGGGACTACAGGTACATACAGGCATGCACCATCACACCTGGCTAATATTTTTTTGGATTTTTTGTAGGCATGAGGTTTCACCATGTTGCCCATGCTGGTCTTGAACTCCTGGGCTTAAGTGACTTGCTCACCTAGGCCTCCTAAATTCCTAGGATTACAGGCATAAGCCACTGCACCCAGCCTGGAAACCACATTTTATTATAAGCATGTGAAAGGAAAATAAATCTTGAGACCCCAAAATCACTAAGCCAAAGGAAAAAGTCAAGCTGGGAACTGCTTAGGGCAAACCAGCCTGCCAGTCTATTCCTACAAAAGATAAAAAAGGTACATACTGCCCTCACAATTTGTACACGAGGAATTTCCTTGCAGAATTGCTTTGTTTGGAAGGGCTAATCAGAAACTCAAAAGACTGCAACTCTTTGTCTCTCATCTACCTATGACATGGAAGCCCCTCCCCACTTTGAGTTGTCCCACCTTTCCGGACTGAACCAATATACATCTTACATATATTGATTGATGTCTCATGCCTCCCTAAATTGCATAAAACCAGGCTGTGCCCCGACCACCTTGGGCACATGTTGTCGGGATCTCTTCAGGCTGTATCATGGGCGCATTCTTACCCTTGGCAAAATAAACTTCCTAAATTGACTGAGACCTGTCTCAGATATTCGGGGCTCACAAGAACCACTCTTTTAGTGTAACTCTGAGTGCCTGTCCTGTGGACAATAATCAATTATCTCTGTGTCCCAGGGGAGACAGTGAATCGGTCTCCTGCTTATTGAGAAAGATCCCCCATAGCTCCCAGTGCTCAAAGTTCATTCTTTCCTTCCCTGCCGCCCCCCCCCCCCCCCCCGCCCTGCAGGGCTTGGCCACTTAACCACTGCAATTAAAAGTCCTCTTTATTCTCCTCATTAGGCCTGGTTGTTATCAAGAGTAACTTACTTTTTCTTTACTGTGCCCAAAGCACCCAGGCCCTTTTCTGTTTATGGGGTTTCAACTAATCATTTTAGAAAAAGGAGAAGATACACAAGATAGATACGTTTAAGAAAATTCCAAGGTTTGCAAATTCTTCCAGCAGAGATCTCTGGTTCATACTTCTGAACTCCCTTTCAGATGGTAACCGGAAGTCTCAATGGGTTTTGCTCTTGGCTTTTGACCTCGTTTTAAAGGGGTATTTCTTATTCATAGTAAGGCCATAGGAAGAAGAGTGACCCAAGGAAGGTGAGTTTCTTGGGATAATTTTCTGAGGTGTCTCTTGATAATATCATTAGTTTTCTCTACCTTTCCTAAGGATTGGGGTCTCCAAGCACAGTGGAGATGGTATTCTATGCCTACTCCTTTTGAGACCCCTTGTGTGACAGCTGCCTTAAACAAGGGTCCATTGTCACTTTGAAGATACCTACGAAGACCGAAGTGAAGAGTTATTTCATTAACTAACACTTTTATTACCTCAGAGGCTTTTTCTGTATGGCATGGGAATGCCTCTATCCAGTTAGTGAAGGTGTCTACCCATACCAGCAGGTATGGATACTCTTTGTCTTTGGCATGTGGGCAAAGTCTATCCCCTGGATACCCTCCTATTCTTTGGGTTTGAGGAGGAAGGAGTCGTCTGTTCAGGGGATTATTTTAAAGACAGACTTCACAAGCATTAACAACTTGCGTAATTGTTCTTAGCAAGTTCTCTCCTAAAAACAATCTCTAGCCACATTGATACGTCTTATCCTTTCCCAAGTGACTTTCCGTTGGCTAGAGGCTGGCAAGTGGAGCTTGCCAACCTCTGACTGTAGCTCTCCTGAGGGCTGAAATGTACACCCTCGAGAAGTGGCCCATTCTACTTCTGTAGTGGAGTACTGAGGTTTAATTTCTCTTATGGAGCCTTCCCAGATTAGAGGGGTTTGAAGTGTGTTGATGTCTTGAGGCTTTCTTGCCGCTGACCTAGCTACCTGACTGGCTAATCTATTTCCTTCGGCTACCTCATCTGTTCCCTTCTGATGTCCCCTACAATGCATTTCTGTGATTTCTCGTGGAAGGAAAACTGAGGAAAGTAACCTTTTAATTTCCTGGTGATGTTTTATAGGAGATCCATTGGTGGTAAGAAAATGCCTTTCCTTCCAAATGGCTGCATGAGCATGGAGAACTAGGAAAGCATACTGGGAGTCAGTGTAAATATTAGCTACCTTTCCTTTGCTTAATTCAATTGCTCTTGTAAGAGCTATTAGCTCAGCTAATTGAGCGCTTGTGCCTGGAGGAAGAGACACACTTTTAATGACGTCATTTAGAGTGACTACTGCGTATCCTGCCTTGTGGATCCATGCTCTACAAGAGAGCTCCCATCTGTGAAGAGGGTCCAGTCTGGATTCTCTAGGGGAGTTTCCTTGAAATCCTCCCTGGCTGCATAGGTCTGTACTATGACTTGTTCACAATTATGCTCAGGTTCCCTAGTTTCTTCAGGGAGGAAGGTGGCTGGATTTAGGCTAGAACAAGTCTTTAATTGGATGTTGGAACCCTCTAACAGTAGGGCCTGATATTTAAGGAGTCGGCTATCTGTTAGCCAAAGGCTTCCTCTAGAGTACAGTAGTCCTGCCACATTATGTAGGGTGTAAACAGTTAAATCATTCCCCAGGGTTAATTTGGAGGCTTCTGGGACCAGCAGAGCCACCGAGGCAATGGCTTGGAGGCATGCTGGCCACTCTTTAGCCACCAAATCAAGTTCCTTACTTAGATAACCCACTGGTTGAGCTGGTCCTCCAGCCTGTGTTAAAACTCCCAGGGCTATTCCCTTCCTTTCTGATACATACAGATTGAAGACCTTCCCTACAGGAAGGCTGAGAGCTGGTGCCTTGAGCAAGACTTGCTTTAGCTGGTTAAAGGCCTTTTGAGCTTCAGGTTCCCAGGTTAAAAGATGAGTTTTAGCTCCCTGAGTTTCTTTTATGAAGTTATATAACAGACGGGCTATTTCACCATACCCAGATATCCATAGCCTACAGAATCATGTAATACCCCAAAATCCTCTTAGTTGCTTGAGAGTTTTGGGGAGGGAGAAGTAGGAGATAGGCTTAATCCTCTCTTCCCCCAACTCCAGTGCTCTGGTCCCCTTTGACAGCTTACATTGTCAGGATGTGACACTTATTATAAGTAACTTCCTCTAAGAACTTGGAAATAAATTTATTGTCTGAGAGTTAAATTTTAAAAATAGTATAATAGATGACATTGCAGATACGTACATACTCACCTTGTAAGTGGTTCCAGGCCTACAATATTGGACTCTAATCAAGAGGTTGCAAACTCATATGCTCCAGACAGCTAGATAGTTACAAACGCATAGAGAAATACTTCAAGGCCTATATGCATATAGCAGCACAATTCGCAGTTGCAAAAATGTGGAACCAGCCCAAATGCCCATCAATCAATGAGTGGATTAAAATAAACTGTGGTATGTATATATGATGGAATACTACTCAGCCATAAAAAAGAATGAAATAATGGCATTCACAGCAACCTGGGTGGGATTGGAGACTATTATCCTAAGTAAAGTAACTGAGTAGTGGAAAACCAAACAACATATGTTCTCACTCATAATTGGGAGCTAAGCTATGAAGATGCAAAGGCAAAAGAATGATACAATGGACTTTGGGGACTCAGAGGGAAAGGGAGGGAAGGGGATGAGGGATAAACAGTGTATATTGCTGGGGTGATGGGTGCACCAAAAGCTCACAAATCACCACTAAGGAACTGGCTCATGTCGCCAAATACCACCTGTTCCCCCAAAACCTATGGAAATAAAAAAATAAAAAAAGATAAATACTTCAAGGCCTGTAAAAGGTGTAATTTTTCTTAAACACCATTAATCAGAGTTGTTATTTTGTTGAGTGTTAGTTCAAAGTCATATTGATAGTAGGAATATACTTGCCTCAGATAAACTAGATTATATTGTCAATGTCAGAAAATTAATACTTGGTGGTGTTGTGGGTTGAATTGTGTGCCCTCAAAAGATATGTTCAAGTCCTAACCCTTAGTACAAATGCATGTGACCTTATTTGGAGCTAGGGTCTTTGCAAATCTAATCAAGTTACAATGAGGTCATACTGGATTAGGGTGGGGCCTAATCCAGTGATGGGTATCCTTATAAGAAGGAAATTAGAACATGGACAGACAGAAGGAGAATGCCATGTAACTATGGAAACAGAAATTGGAGCGATTCATCTACAAGCCAAGGAACCCCAAAGATTGCAACCACCAGAACCTAGGAAGAAGCACAGAAAGATTCTTCCTTAGAGCTTTCAGAAAGCATGGAACTGCCAATGCCGTAATTTCAGACTGTTAGCCTCTAGAATGGTGAAATAATAAATTTCTGTTGTTTTAAACCATCCCAAGTTTGTAGTAGTTTGAAATGAAACCTGTAGGAAACTAGTACACTTGATGTTGGGGGTGGTATGTTTGCTTTTAGATAATTTAAAAGGAAATGTGTTGTAACTATTGTTGGTAGAAAGATTGATATGGAATCTTGGCACATACTTTCTTCCTTGTGTTCACAGGATTAAAGTCCACTCCTTTTCTTTTGGGGAAGGCAGAAATTGGAGCAGAAAAATGAATACTAAAATCAAGACTAAATTAAAAAAAATTAAAAATCAGACTGAAACCAGAGGCATCAATGTTTAAAAGACACACAAAAAAGGAAGTGGTGTGGGACTTATCTCATTCGAGGAGAAGTAGAAATTCTTCAGAAGGGAATTGGAGCTTCTGGACCAGGGAGGGACCTAAAGAAGGCCTGAGGCTTGATGATTAGAAAGCATAATGGTGGTTGAGAGGAAACAAGACAGTGTTGGAGTGGGATGCCTTTCAAAAATACACTTCTTCACCCCTTCTTTTATAGTATAAATGCACTCTTTATTTAGCGTATGTTTACTTCATACATTTTGGATGAAATTTGGAAGTAGTTTTCATAAGTAAAAGAACTGCTCAAGCTATCACACCTCTCCCAGAGTTCATATGAGTCTGGAAGAGACAAGCATGGCTGAACTTAAGAAGGGGACTAGGCAGAATGGACATAGGTGCTCTGTCATACACTACTAGTTGGAGTGGGATCTAGACCAGCAGAGAACTTTTAAGTAGAAGGCACTTAGGCTATTTCTCAGGCTTCTTCCCATAGAATAATGAGGAATTCAATTTCCATCCACTCCTAAGGGGCAAGAAGAATGAGTACTGCCAGCCACTAGTCCATATAGTTTTATATAATTTACTACAAAACATACCCGTTCCTCAAGATATTTGACTTCCATCTGGTTAGATAAATGCCATAATAAATATACAAATATATGGAATTCATGTGAATGGAGATATCGTTGCCTTATATGTGGCCATTGTACATTGTACATTTCATACAATCTGTATTACTGTTCATGGTGACCTTACCTGGCAAATTTGGATTGCAAGAATATCCTGAAAAGAACATGTCAATTCAAAAAAGTTGGTCACCTTACCTAGGAAACAGAAGAAAGAGAATCCCTGGGGAAAACGTTAACATTGTCCATGCAGTCATTCTTCTGGAAGAGTTGGATTTACAGGTCTGTCTGTCCCCATAGTTTGATGATCATATCATACTAACTTACCCTGGTTCTGCTTAGCATCTGAATCATGCTATAATTCCTTTACATTGGCTGCTTACTCACCTGCTAGCTGTAGTTTGACCGCCATGACTTGAGCTGACTAGGCTAAGTTACCTGCTCTGTGTGTTTATTCTGTCTCATTTAAATGCCTTCATTTTGCCTTCTGGTGCCAATGTTTTTGTTGTTTTTTTAATATGTGTCCCCTCCGAAACTCATGTAGAAATTTAACCCTCAATGTGGCAGTATTGACAGATGGGTTTTTAAGAAGTTACTGGGTTATGAGGGCCCTGTCCTTGTGGATTAATATATTAATGGGTTAATGGGTTCTCATGGGATTAATGAGTAATCATCTCTGTGTCCCTGGATAACTTTGTATAGCAGAGCCACTTTGCCAGCCCTGAAATGCTCACTTTTTGGATGGTTACTAGTGTGTACTAAACTTATGCTTTATTTCCCTAACGACATTTTGGAGCCTCTTCATCACAGCAACTTAACTTATACCTGACAAGTAGCAGTTCATTCTACAGATAGACTGTCTCAGCATGGTGGGTCACATGGCATTTCTTAAATCATGAGAACTTCCTATTGACCAACCTGAACTGGGGGATAGGGTGGTAGACAAAAAGCAACAAATATCTACTACAAAAGATTTTACAAATTTTTATATTTAAAAAAAGCTCTGAAGCAGATACCCCCAGTTTAAAAAGAAGATGAAGGTAGCACCTTAGTGAAACTTTTATATGAAAGAAAGACAAAACTTTATAAAAGCTGCTATAGGAAAAAAAAAAACCCTAGTTTCCAATATTTACTTAATTCTCTTGGCATTTTTAAGGATTAAAAACCATTAATTATTTTAGGAGAAAACTGTCCCAGTTATCTATTGCTGTGTAACAAATTACCTCCAAACTTAGTGGCTTAAAACAAGAAGAATCATTTTATTTTTTTCTAGTCATGACTCTGGGGACAAACTGGGCTCTACTAGGCGGTTCTTACTTGGGATCTCCATGTGGTGGTGGCCAGATGGTGGCTGGGGCTGAATCATCTCCAGGCTCACTTTCCCCCATGTCTGGAGGTTGATACTGGCTTTTGGTTGACACCTCATCTGGGACAGTTGGCAAGAACACTTTCTATAGTCTCAATGAGGTCTTTCCTCTTCTTCATAACATGTGACTGGTTTCAAGAAGGAGTGTCCCATGAGGCCGAGGTAGAAACTGTATTCCCTTTTACAACCTATCCTCTGAAGTGAGATCACTCCATTTCTGCTATAATCATAGGCCTGCCCAGGCTCAAGGAGGAGGCATATGGCCTGTCTGTGGGAGAAGTGTCAAGATCACATCCCAATCTGGAATGGGAGATCTTATGGTCATGTCGGAAAGCAGTATCTGTCATGGTCCCCCCTTTGGCCATAATAATTTACATCCCTCCTCTAGGCAAAATATGTTTGTCTTTTTATCTTCTGCCAAATCGCATTTCATTATGGCATTTGCTTGAGGTCTAGGAATTGCAATCAGGCCCAGGTGCAGGTGAGGCTCCTTCATTGTGGTTCCTTGGGTACATCTCCTTGAGGACCATTGCTTTCAGTGTGAAGACATGTGAATTAAAGAAACAGGCTATCTCTCTTCTACATCCCCAACATATAATGGTAGGATAGTTCCCAAAGGGTAGGACAAGGGCACAGAGCAGCCACTGATTGCTAGCATGTTTCTATATCCTTGATGAGGGCTCAGTCCACTTGCCTGGGAGGTGTTCATCATGACTCTTGGCTCTACCCTCTGGGCTCTAGGTGCCCTCAGAATCATCCTTTGTTTTCAATAAGAAAACCTAAGTTTGCAATTTAATAGTCTCCTTAGTCTACTTTCTGCCTGTAGAAGGGTAGAGGTTTAAAGTCATCTTGTTATTAAATATTTAGTATTTATCTGTCCTTTTCAGTCCAAGCTGACAGTGATTCCTCCAGAATATTTCTTTTGAAAGCATTGTGTGTTTAAATATATCACTTTATAATCCTGAGGCACACCCTCCTATTATTCCAGGTAAACCCCTTTCTCCCTCAGGCTCATATGAGACTGCAGGACACAACATCCTTGAGACTCTTAAAGCCCAATCATTTAACTGAGAAGATCTGCAAAGCAAACTCTTAAGATCCTTAAAAGGCTTTTGGTCTGACTGAAAGTTTCTATGAGCCATTACTTTAAATCTTTTTAAAATCTTGAAGAGTTTTACCGTCATGCCCTACGTTTCATTTGTAGACCACGTTTTCCCGACAGTGCACTGGATTTCATCTATGCCCAGAAGCTACTTTTAATTTTGGAATCCTTTGCTGTTGTAAGAGGTTGAGAACAAGAAATAGTTTTATTTTCAAATCCAACAAGTCTTGGATCTTCTATATTTAACAGTATATTCTTTAGCCCATCTTTTTCCTCCTGCCTTTTATCATAGGCAGTGAGAAGCCAGGTGGTAATTTCAATATTCTGCCTAAAATCTTCTTAACTAGATCTTCACATTCATTAAGTACATTTTCAATTTTTCACATTACTAAGGGTGACAGTGTTGCCAATTGCATTTCCTGTACTTTGCTTGAGCCCTGATTGACAGCCTCCTTCAGCCCTCTGGGCTTCCACTAACACTTTGCTGGAGGCTAAGTTTCTACTAACAGTCTCTTCAATGTTCTCCCACTTTCTGCTCACTACCTGTTCCTAAAGATAATACTACATGTCTCAGGATTTTGTCATGACAGTGCCCCACTTCCAGGTGCCAGAATCTTTCTTAAATATCTACTGTTATGAAACAAATAATTCAAAGGTATTATGACTTAAAACAACAGTCAGCTCATGATTACGTCTTATGGTTCTGGCATTGATTAGGCCCAGTTAGGCAGTTCTCATTTGAGACTGGTCTTGCGGTGGCAGTCAGATGGTGGCTGGGGCTGGGACCTTAGCTCCAGCTATTTGTGGTAACACCTACTACTCATGGCCTCCCTGTCTCTGTGTGGCCTGCTTTCTCATGGCATGATTATTGGGTTCCAAGAATGAGCATCCCAATGGTCCTAGGAGGAAGCCAGCCTCTGAAGTCACATACTGCTAGTTTTGGCTTAGCCACAGGCCCACTTCAAGAAAAGGGAATGTAGATGCCATGTCTGGATGGAGGAAGGGTCATATTATAAAAAGAAAATGTTGAATGGGAGATCTTTTTGTGGCCATATTAGAAATACAATCTGACACAATAGCTGTATCAGAATCGTTTAAACTATAGCACTGTAGGATGACTATAGTTAACAATAATATATATTTTCAAATAGCTAGAAGAGAGAATATTGAATGTTCCCAAAACAAAGGAATGATAAATGTGTGAGATGATGGATATGCTAATTACCACTCTCTGATCACTGTGCATTGTATGTATCAAAACATCACTACGTACCTCATGAATATGTACAATTATTATGTATTAGTTAAAAATAAATAAAAAATAAATTTTAGATCCTATATAGAGACTTTCACTGGTTTATTGAAGCAGGAATAACAAAAAGAGGGAACTTACTGGAATCAGATTGTTTAAATTATAGAACTGATGGAATGGCAGAAAACCAGCCTCAGAAAATGCAAACCAAAAAGCCAGTAGAAGGTAAAGACAATGTTGGACTGGCTGGAGGATGGACGAGGAGAAAGATGTAATCTTCAGTGAGACAGAATCTATCTGACTTCTTACCTGAAAACATGGAGGTGGTGGGAGGATGTACATACACTGAAGAGGGCTTGATATGTGTTGGTAACCTTGTGCTTTATTGAATTTACACTTTGATTTTGCTGCTTCTTTTATTGTAATAACCACTCTATCATCTCCCACTGTTAAAATCTATTCATCTTTAAAGAGTCAGCCCAAATGCCAATACTCTCTAATGCTTTGTGGGTTTTGTCAGTTAAAATTGCTTTCTTTCTCCACTATTCATATTACACTTTTCCCTTCTCTTTTAAAACTTATTGCACAATGGTTAGTATTTAAGTATGTGTTAACCTGCCTTATCAACCCAACCAGGTGTAAGTTCCTTGAAGGCAAGTTCCTTGGCTTAGTTTTATTTCCCTAGAGTATCTCAAAGCAACAGGTGCTCAGACATATTTGTTGAATAAATACCAAGTTAGAGATTCTACAAATAGTTTAGTGATAAATTCTGAATGAATATTTCCTTTTCGTTTCTTTAAAATCCAATAAAGATCATTCTTTTCCCTTCACGTGTCATTAATAAAAAGCTTTTATTTGCTTATTAAAAAATAGTTCCAGATTAATGATTGATATTACCTCAGAATATTGAATGAAATGAAACAATGAAACAATAAAATCTCTCTAAATAATTAGTTTCCTGATCTGTAATTTTAACCAACTACCTAAAATGATTTTAGCTTTCATTATTGGGTAAGTGCTTCCAGTGGGTTACAAATAGCTGTTGCTTTTAGATCAGATACATTTTTCTTTTGCTGAGTATGGCTATGTCTATAATTTTTAGATTGATTAAATTATTACAGTAGAGAACCTCTGTTTTTACTTCTATGCTACTATTTTAATTCTCAGCCAAGACAGAAAAGTGAACATATGCAAAATCAGATTTCAACCCAATAAAAGTGTTTATACAATGGAAGCCTATAAATTTGAAAATAAAATTTATTTAAGAGTGTGGTAGCCAGCCTTCAGGATGGCTCTAATGATCCTCATCTCCAACTTTCAACTTTCAACTTTCAACACGGCTGTAATGATCCTCATCTCCAACTTTCCTTGTAGTCCCCTTCCACACTGAACCAGGTTTAGTCTGCAAGTGACCATACAAGTGATGGCGTGGGTCTTCTAAGGCTAGGTCATGAAAGGCAGCACAGTGCCTCTTCTACTCTGCTCCCTTGGATCAGCCACTCTGGGAGAATCCAGAAGCCATGTCATCTGGATATTCAAGGAGCTGTCTAGAGAGTTCCACATGAAAAGTACTGAGACTTCTTGGAAAAACAGCCATAAACAGCAAACTAATAACACGAGTGAGTCATCTCGGAAGCTGATTTGCAGCCACAGTAAAATCTTAAGATGACTGTGGTCCTGGCGAGATCTCATGAGAAATCCAGAGCCATAACTGCCCAGCTAAGCCACTCCTGATTTCCTGATTACCAGAAACCATAAGATAATAAATTGTTATTTTAAGCCACTAAATTTTGGGGTAATTTGTTACACAGCATAGATAACTAGTACAAAGAGATGTTTGCTAAATTTACAAAATTCAAATACAAGGCAAATAACTATGCTCAGACTGAGGACACTGTAAAGAGTTCTTTAGATAACCATAAAGCTCACAGCGCAGATATTTTCCCAGTAAGTAGTATAGTTGTCAAGAACTGAGTAGAAAATGTGTTGGACATAGATTTGGCATGGAAATTATTGTTTTTTACTGTATGATGACTTGAAGATGGGTACCATACCATACATATGTTCAACTGTGACAGCTAAAGTTATTTCTCCATTAGAGACTTTTGCAACAGGTTCCACCTATATACACTAAGCATATAATTCTATTCACAAAAAAACCAATATACCCATTTTTAGAAAAAAAAATTTAGTAAAAATATCATTCTTATTATTTTTGAAAGTTTTGCTTCACAGTAAATGATGCATGGGTTTTGTGACATTGCCGAGTGCCTCTCCATATGGGGAGCTGAGCCTGCACACAGGCGGTAATGCATGCATCACCACATACTCACTAATGAAGCAAGGTAAAGAAATAGAAAAGCTTTTCATTCCCTCAATATGCAGCTGGTGTGTGATGCCAGATGTAAAATCATTGATGTTCTTGCCAAGTTCTCAGGATCATGTCATGATTTATTTAAACTAAGACAATCAAGAATAGGTTGATTTTTGTAAAAAATAGTCAAATACAAGGAGGCCGATGAGTAGGTGGATAGGAACATATCTTCTCTAAAATATTGACTGTGTATTAAATATAAGATTATTTGTATCCTTCATTCTTTCTTTGTATTATATTGTGGTTTTCCTCTGAAGAGAGTAAATGGCTCTACTTTCTAATCCCTTAACTCCTCCAGAATTACTTTATAATGAAGCACATAAATTCAGTAGAGCTGTAATTGAAAAAAAAAAAAAAACATGTTATTTTGAAACCAATGTTACAGATGCCTATCCAAAATGGAAAGTAGATGGCATGTCTTCTTTTAATATCTCAAGCATTTCCTTTGGCAATTTGTAATTCATGATATTAGAATTGATTATAATAGAGACCAAGCTTTAATGTTTCTTCTGGTGGAGTGGAGGGGGGCGGTGTGGGGGCGGTTATTGCCACCATCCACAGTATCAGGACATGAAGCATTACAAATGTTGATTCCCCCCCTCCCTATCCCCTGAAAAACATTTTTATCTGGCAATAGAAACTACAGGGGTCATTATTCATGACTGTCACCATCAGGGGCAGTTGTGATTCAGAACTATTGGAAGGGGAACTAACTTTTGTTGAGCTTCTGCCATGTGCCAGGCACTTGGGTACCTTACTTGATTTTCAAAAAAATATTTGAGCAGCACAACTTTACTTTCTTCTCACTGTAGATCCTTGGCAAACATTTAAAAAACTGTGGTAAAATATACATAATACAAAATTAGCCATTTTGACTATTTTTAAGTGCACAGTTTAGTGGCATTAAGTGCACTCACATTGTTATGCAACCATCACCATTAGCCTTCTGTAGAACTCTGCAGGGGCATTTAAAATAATGCAACACTTCTCAAAAGCCCTTTGTCTTTCAAAGAAAAATCATACAGGAAGGGACAATGGTAAAATTACATTATAGTATGTTATGTTTATTTAACCTAATAGCAACTCAATACATATTTTGTTACCTACCAGAAACAAGATGTCATACTAGGCAGTTCAGAGGATATACAGACTCATGAGATAAAAACCCTACTCTCAAGTATAGACTGGAATTCTGCAGTCTGACCTTGATTCTTTTAGTAAATGAATTCATTCAACAAGTCAAGAATACCTTCTCTACGCCCAGAGCTCTGCCAGTGTTTGGTATGTATGTAGTGGAGTCATAGCCCTCTTGGAGCTGCATTCACATAATTATCAGTGTAGCTTGTCTGCTCTTCCCTGCCTTCAGGGAAGAGAGTCAGAAAGGCAATCCTGAAATCTGTGCAGAAGTCATAAGAGCAACTTTTACTTGAATATTTATTTATTAATCTCACTATAAATAGAATTCTTACAATGACCCTAAAACGAGGCTATATTTATAATCTCTATTTTATAGGTGAGGAGTCTTAGGCACACAGGTGTTAAATAAGACCTATGGTCATGTAGTGGCAGAACTGGAGTTAAACCCAGGTCATTTGATTCCAGAAGCTCCATGTTTAATCCTACCCCACATGGCCTTTGTTATGTCAATGTGTGAGTGTGGACACAGGACCTTTATGGAGCTGCTTCAAAATTAGTCATCAAAGATAAATCACTCTTCAAGGGAGGATTCATTGAGAGTGAGGAGGGGCAAAGAGGGGCTTGTAGTGTTACTGTAGGAGAGCCCTCTCCATATGGAAAGAAATATCAGATTAGGGAAAAGTGTTTCCTATCATAAAGCAACACTGTTAGTCCAAACGGTCCTTTGCGAAAATCAGAAAAAGGCAAACCTCTACTTCATAGTGGCGGGAAAAAAGGCAAATCTTTCTCCAGACACTTTCTGCAGGAAAATTTTTGTTAAATAATACAAAAATTTATGATAACTGCTATGTGAGCGACACATCCTATAGCCTGTGCAATACATAACTGGCATAACCATGTGTGGCAACTATGCCTCCCAATGCCCTAAGCCTTTAACTTCCTGTCATGGGCTGAATTGTGTCCCCTACAAATTTATATTTCAAAATCCCAACCATCAGTACCTCAGAATGTAACCATGCTTTGAGATAACATTTTTAAAAGAGGTGATGAAGTTAAAATGCGGCCATTAGAGTGGGACCCTAAAACAATATGATTGGTGCCCTTTTAAGAAAAGGGAGAGACACTAGGGGAGCGTGTTCACAGAAGGATGACCATGTGTCATGTGAAGTGACAGCAGGGACTGCCATCTGCAAGCCAAGGAGAGGCCTCCCAGGAAGTCAACCCAGCTGGCATCTTGATCTTGGATTTCCAGCATATGGAACTGTGAGGAAATAAACTTCCATTGTTTAAGCCACCGAGTCTTTGGTATTTTGTTATGGCAGCCTTAGTAAACTAGTACACACCGCTAACAGTTTCAACTGATTGGGTTAAAGCATGGGTGTGGATATGCCATGATGGGCATTTACAAGAGAAAACACACACACACATACTCTCTATTTATCTCTTACACACACATACACATACATACTTACACACATGTGGTGGGGGCAGAGGAAGGGAAGGTCGGGAAGAGAGAGCAAAAGAGAGGGAGAGAGAGACCACTATCCCACGAGAGAGAACTCTCAGCGTTGTAAAAGCTTGCTGCTGCTTTTTATAAATTTATTTTAATTTAACTAATTAATTTATTTATTTTGAGACAGAGTCTCACTCTGTCACCCCGGCTGGAGTGCAGTGGTGCTATCTCAGCTCACTGCAATCTCTGCCTCCTGGGTTCAAGTGATTCTGCTGCCTCAGTCTCCTGAGTAGCTGGGATTACAGGCCACCACACCCAGCTAATTTTTGTATTTTTAGTAGAGACAGGGTTTCACCATGTTGACCAGGCTGGTCTCGAACCCCTGACCTCAGGTGATTCACTGCCTCAGCCTCCCAAAGTGCTGGGATTACAGATGTGAGCCACCTTACCTGCCCAAAGCTTGCTGCTTCTAATTCCACATCCTCCACTCCTCACTCAGAACCATGCCACCTCGCCTTTGTAACTTCAATTATAATTATATAATTATTTGTGTTCTTATTTGAATATTTTCCCCATTATGTGTCTTCACAAGAAGAGACCTTCCTTGTATCCTCAGTATCTACACAGTGAATGTCACATACTGAGTGATCAATAAATATTTCTTGGGTGAATGAATGAAGGAAGGAATGAGTGGATCTCTGAACTCGTGACTATCTTCAATCAGATTATTACCTGATTAATACTGACATATATATTCCAGAAAAAATAAAAACATAATAATTATACAGAATAACAATTTATATTTCCAGTTAAAATGACTGAAGTATACCCAGAAGAAAACCTTTCTTCATTAGAGTATCTTACTTTAAGGACTTTTTTTTAATTTGATGACATAAAAATCTGAGGTCTGGACTGTTTTCTATCATTAAAAGTCCCATGACTTTTCTTCACGCCCCAGATTCAATATGCCAGCCAAATTCTAGTAATTATGTGTTTCCTTCTTAGAATTCCCAAAGAGTATGAATTAGGAAGATAATTCTTTTCTTTCCTCTGTTGGCCATGATGGTCATTTACTGAAACTACCAATGTGTAATGCAGCTGATGGGAAATATTAACTTGGGCCACAGCCATAGTGATGTTCTTTGGCTCAACAAACCTCCACAAGTTAGTGAAACAATGATTTGATTTAGGAGAGTTTGAACTCAAGGGTACACTAACTAAATTGTTGATGGTTAAAATGATTAAGAATAGAAGAGGAGGGGAAACTTGAAATTCCTGTACAGCTCTTGTAGCTTGTCTTTTCAAACTTCCATTTACTCATGTACCAGTGCTAAGAATTTTACATGAATTATATTATTTAATTTAATTATTACCCAACACTAAAAGGTTGGTACAATTATAGCCCCAGATTTTTAGATGAAGTATCTTTGGCTGAATGAGCTTAAGCAACTTGCTCAACGTGACCCAGCTATCATTAGAATCCAGGTATTTTCTTTTTTTTTGTTTTGGTTATCAAAATATTACATGTTTATTATAGATATTGTATAAAATAGACAAAGTATTAAAAACAAAATAAAATATCAGCCATAACCTCCAAGTCAGAGATGAATAAAATTAACATTTTGGTGACTGTTTTACTAGTGTTTATTTTCCACGATTATATGTGTCACAAAATGTTACAAGTATACCATGTACAGTCATGCACCGCATTAATGATGTTTGGGTCAACGACTGCATATGCAACGGTGGTCCTATAAGGTTATAATACCGTATTTTTACTGTACCTTTTCTATGTTTAGATACACAAATACTTACCATTGTGTTACAACTGCCTCCATTATTCAGTACAGTAACATGCCGTACAGGTTTGTAACCTAGGAGCAATAGGCTATACAATACAGCTAGGTGTGTAGTAGGCTATACTATCTAGGTTTGTGTACACACTGTGATGTTTGCATAACAAAATCACCTAACCTCACATTTCTCAGAACATATCCCCATAGTTAAGCAGTTATATGACTTTATAGTATTTTGCAATCTGCTTCTTAAAAATTTGAATTTTATTTTAGTGAATATATTTCTACAGCGTCACTTTTAGTGATTATACACTATTCTGATTTATTAAATTAATATATTTAATCAATTGTTTATACATGTAATTTGTAGTTACTTTGCTATTAAAAATTATGTGACAACACATAATGACACTCATAGGCTCAAAATAAAGTGATGGAGAAAAGTCTACTAAGAAAATGGAAAACAAAAAAAGTAGGAGTTACAACACTAATTTTAGACAAAACAGATTTCAAACCAACAAAGATCAAAAAAGACAAAGAAGGGCATTACATAATGGTGAAAAGTTCAATCCAAGAAACCTGACTATCCTACATATAAGTGCACCCAACACAGGAACACCCAGATTTATAAAGCAAGTTCTTAGAGACCTACAAAGAGACATATATTCCCACACAATAATAGTGGGAGACTTCAATACTCCACTGACAGTATCAGACAGATCATTGAGGCAGAAAATTAACAAAGATATTTGGGACCTAACCTCAGCATTGGACCAAATAGATCTGATAGACCTTTACAGAAATCTTCACCCCCAAACAACAGAATATACAGTCTTCTCATCACCACATGGCACATACTCTAAAATTGACCACATATTTGTACACAAAACAATCCTCAACAAATGTAAAATAACTGAAATCATACCAAATATTCTCTTGGACCACAGCACAATAAAAACAGAAGTCAAGCCAATGAAAATCTCTCAAAACCATGCTATTACATGGAAATTAAACAACATGCCCCTGAATGCCTTTTGGGTAAATAATGAAATTAAGGCAGAAATCAAGAAGTTCTTTGAAAATAATGAGAACAAAGATATAACATACCAGATTCTCTGGGACACAACTAAGGCAGTGTTAAATTCATAGCACTAAATGGCCACATCAAAGAGAAAGATCTCAAATCAACAACCTAACTTCACAACAGAAAGAATGAGAGAAACAAGAACAAGGTCAGTGAGGTGGGTCACGCCTGCCCCAGCACTTTGGGAGGCCGAGGCAAGAGGATCATTTGAGGTCAGGAGTTCAAGACCAGCCTGGCCAACATGATGAAACTGTTTCTACCAAAACACAAAAATTAGCCAGGTGTGGTGGTGCGTACCTGTAGTCCCAGCTGCTCAGGAAACTGAGGCAGGAGAATTGCTTGAACCCAGGAGGCGGAGGTTGCAGTGGGCCGAGATTGTGCCACTGCACTCCAGCCTAGTCAACAGGAACAAATCAACCCCAAAGCTAGTAGAAGATGAAAAATAACAAATATCAGAGCTGAACTGCAGGAAATTGAGACATAAAAAACCATTCAAAAGATTAATGAATGCAAGAGTTGTTTTTTTTTGAAAACAGTAATAAAATATATAGGCCACTAGCTAGACTAATAAAGAAGTCTAGCTAGAGAGAATATACAAATAAACACAATTAAAAATGATGAAGGAAATGTTACCAGTAACCCCCACATAAATAAAAACAACCATCATAGACTACTGCGAACACCTCTGTGCACACAGAGTTGTGCACACAAACTAGAAAACCTAGAAGAGACGGATAAATTTCTGGACACATACACTCTCCTAAGACTGAGCCAGGAAGAAATTTATTCCCTGAACAGGCCAATAATGAGCTCCAAAATTGAATCAGTAAAAAATAATCTACCAATCAAAAAAAGCACAGAGCCTGATGGATTTACAGTTGAATTCTACCGGATGTACAAAGAAGAGCTAGTACCATTCTTGCAGAAACTATTCCAAAAATCCCTCCTCCCGAAATCATTCTGTGAGGCCAGCATCATTTTGATACCAAAACCTGGCAGAGACACAACAAATAAAGAAAACTTCAGGCCAATATCCTTGATGAACATCAATGCAAAAACCCTCAACAAAATATTGGCAAACCAAATCCAGCAGCACATCAAAAAACTCATCCCCCATGATCAAATAGGCTTCACTCCTGGGCTGCAAGGTTGGTTCAACATATGCAAATCAATAAATGTGATTCATCACATAAACAGAACTAAAGACAAAAACCACATGATTATCTCAATAGATGCAGAAAAGGCTTTTGATAAAATTCAACACCACTTCATGTTAAAAACTCTCAATAAATTAGGTATTGAATAAACATAACTTAAAATAACAAAAGCCATCTATGACAAACCCACAGCCAACATTATATTAAATGGGCAAAAGCTGGACGCATTCCCTCAAAAAACTGGCACAAGATAAGGATGCCCTCTCTTACCACTTCTGTTCAACATAGCATTGGAAGTCCTAACCAGAGCAATCAGGCAAGAGAAAGAAATAAAGTGCATCTGAATAGGAAGAGAGGAAGTCAAACTATCTCTGTTTGCAGATGATATAATTCTATATCTAGAAAACCCCATAGCCTAGGCCCAAAAGCTCCTTCAGCTGATAAATAACTTCAGCAAAGCTTTAGGATACAAAATCAATGTACAAAAATCATGAGCATTCCTATACACCACCAACAGCCAAACTGAAAGCCAAATCAGAAAGGCAATCCCATTCACAATTGTCACACACACACACAAAATACCTAGGAATACAGCTAACTAGGAAGCGGAAGATCTCTACAATGAGAATTACAAAACACTTCTCAAAGAAATCAGAGAATATGCAAACAAATAAAAAAAATCCCATGCTCGTGGATGGGAAGAATCAATAAAATTAAAATGTCTATACTTCCCAAAGCAGTTTACAGATTCAGTGCTATTCCTATCAGACTACTGACAACATTCTTCACAAAACTAGGAAAAACTATTTTAAAATTCATATGGAACCAAAAAACAGCCTGAATAGCCAAGGCAATCCTAAGCAAAATGAACAAAGCTGGAGGCATCACATTACCCAACTTGAAAATTACAAGGTTACAGTAACCAAAACAGCATGGTACTGGTACAAAAACAGGTACATAGACCAATGGGACAGAATAGAGAGCCCAGAAATAAGGCCTCACATCTACAACCATCTGATCTTTGACAAAGCTGACAAAAATAAACAATAGGGAAAAGACTCTCTATTCAATAAATGGTGCTGGGATAACTGGCTAGCCAACTGCAGAAGATTGAAGCTGGACCCTTTCCTTACACCATATACAAATATCAACTCAAGATGGATTAAAGACATAAATATAAAACCCAAAACTATAAAAACCCTGGAAGACAACCTACGCAGTACCATCCTGGACACAGGAATGAGCAAAGATTTCGTGACAAAGACACCAAAAGCAATAGCAACAAAAGCAAATATTGACAATTGGGATCTAATTAAACTTAAGAGCTTCTGCACAGCAAAACAAACTAACAACAGAGTAAACAGACAACCTACAGAATCGGAGATATTCTGCAGGTTGCAATTATGCATCTGACAAAGGTCTAATATTCAAAATCTATAAGGAACTTAAATTTACAAGAGAAAAACAACTCCATTAAAAAGTGGTCAGAGTTGGCTGGGCGCGGTGGCTCATGCCTGTAATCCCAGCACTTTGGGAGGCCGAGGTGGGCGGATCACGAGGTCAGGAGATTGAGACCATCCTGGCTAACACGGTGAAACCCAGTCTCTACTAAAAATACAAAAAATCAGATGGGCATAGTGGTGGGTGCCTGTAGTCCCAGCTACTCGGGAGGCTGAGGCAGGAGAATGGCTTGAACCCGGGAGGCAGAGCTTGCAGTGAGCTGAGATTGCACCACTGCACTCCAGCCTGGATGACAGAGCGAGACTCCGTCTCAAAAAAAAAAAAAAAAAAGTGGTCAGAGTACATGAACAGACACATCTCAAAAGAAGACATACATGTGGCTACGAAGCATATGAAAAAAAAGCTTGGCTGGGCGTGGTGGCTCACACCTGTAATCCCAGCACTTTAGGAGGCTGAGGCAGGTGGATCACCTGAGGTCAGGAGTTTGAGACCAGCCTGGCCAACATGGTGAAACCCTGTCTCTACTAAAAATACAAAAATTAGCCAGGCATGGTGGCACACACCTGTAGTCCCAGGTACTTGGGAGGCTGAGGCAGGAGAATCTCTTGAACCCAGGAGGCAGATGTTGCAGTGAGCCAAGATCACGCCACACTATACTCCAGCCTGGGCAACAGAGTGAGACTTGGTGTCAAAAAAACAAAACAAAAAAACAAAAAAAAAGAAAGGAAAAAAGCTCAATACTATGAATCATTAGAGAAAGGCAAATCAAAACCACAATGAGATCCCAGTGAGTAGTCAGAATGGCTACTATTGAAACATCAAAAAATAACAGATGCTGGCAAGGCTGTGGTGAAAAGGGAATGCTTATACACTATTGGTGGGACTGTAAATTAGTTCAACCATTGTGGAGAGCAGTATGGTGATTCCTCAAAGAGCTAAAAGCAGAACTACATTCGACCCAACAATCCCTTTACTGAGTATATACCCAGAGGAATATAAAGCATTCTACCATAAAGACACATGCATGTGAATTTTCACTGCAGCACTATTCACAATAACGAAGACATGGAATCAACCTAAGTGCCCATCAATGACAGATAGGATAAAAAAAATGGTACATATACACCATGGAATATTATGCAGCCGTAAAAAAGAATGAGATCATGTCTTTTGCAGGAACATAGATGGAGTTGGATGCTATCATCCTTAGCAAATTAACACAGGAACAGAAAATCAAATACCACATGTTCTCACTTATAAGTGGGAGCTACATGATGAGAACTTATGAACACAAAGAAGAAAACAACAGACCCTTGGGCCTACTTGAGCCAGGAGGATGGGAGGAGAGAGAGGAGCAGAAAAGATAACTATTGGGTACTGGGGTTAATACCTGGGTGATGAAATAATCTGTACAACAAACCCCCATGACACATTTACCTATGTAATAAACCTTCACATGTACCTCTAAACCTAAAATAAAAGTTAAACATTTTTTAAAGTAAAAAAAATTATGTGACTAGATCTTTATATATTAATCTTTTATATAGCCATGACTATTTATTTTGGCTGTGTTTATTGAACTAGAGTTAATTCTTTTTTTTTTGAGATGGAGTTTTGCTCATTGCCCAGGCTGGAGTGCAATGGCACGATCTCAGCTCACTACAACCTCTGCCTCCCTAGTTCAAGTGATTTTCCTGCCTTAGCCTCCAAAGTATCTGGGATTACAGGCATGCGCCACCACGCCCAGCTAATTTTGTATTTTTAGTAGAGACGGGGTTTCACCATGTTGGTCAGGCTGGCCTTGAACTCCTGACCTCAGGTGATCCAGCCTCCTTGGCCTCCCAAAGTGCTGGGATTATAGGTGTGAGCCACCGTGCCTGGTGAGTTAATTCTTTAAGGGTGCAAAATTATTTTTTCCTCTTAGTTGGAATGAAATTCTGTAATAAAATATAAATTGTTAAAATTTCTACAATTCATGTTGTTCATGTATAAATTCTGAAGAGAAAATTAATTCTCTTTGAATTTATGGATTTCTTGCCTCTGTATCTATTAGACTATTAGAATATTGTTTTAAAGGCCATTTGGGAACTCATGGTAGTTTTGTTTAGGTATTGTTTGATGTAGAAAAGTGTGAAGAGAGGTAAAGATGCTATGAGATGACAAAATAGAAAGTGTAAACATCTTAGTTCAATTCAATTCTCCCTCCCTTTTTTCCTTCCTTCTCTCCTTCCTCCCTTTTTCCCTTCTTTCCCTCTTTCATTTCCTCTTTCTTTCTTCCTCCTTCCCTTCCTTCTCTCCCTTCATTGCAATGTACCAACACATTATCATGGTCTTTCTCTGTAAGGAATGGGACCATGTAGATGGCTTTCAGAAAAGGATTCCTGTGTACTAGATAGTCCATTGTTTAGTTTATTATAACCAAGTTACTAAAATTTTGAACCTATGAATGTCAAGTGGAACACAGAAACAACTTTGTAAGCCAGAACCACTTCACTATTATGATATTCATTGAAAAAGGTTTGACTTCACCTGTGTAATACAAACAGCATGTAAATTAGCAGAAGGAGCTATAAAATGTTTAGATAAATATCAAAGTTGACTTTACAAGGAAACAGAGAGAGCCTGATTAGATTCTGGCTCTATGCAAAAGCCAGTTGTTTAGAAAAGATGGGTCTGGTTAAGAAAAAAACCGATGGTGATTTCTTCCTGAAGCCACACTTGACTAATTCACCTGCATTGGTCTTTTTGAATTCCTCTAATACTTACAGGCCATCCTATGAATCCAGCATTTTTTTTTGAGATGGAGTCTTGCTCTTGTCACCCAGGCTGGAGTGCAATGGTGTGATCTTGGCTCACTGCAACCTCCGCCTCCTGGGTTCCAGCAATTCTCCTGCTTCAGCCTCCCGAGTAGCTGGGATTACAGACTCGTGCCACCATGCCTGGCTAATTTTTGTATTTTTAGAAGACATGGGGTTTCACCATGTTGGCCAGGCTGGTCTTGAACTCCTGACCTCAGGTGATCTGCCTGCCTCGGCCTCCAAAAGTGCTGGGATTACAGATGTGAGGCAATGCGCCTGGCCAAATCCAGCACTTTATATTGTCTATAAGATTTAAGTGAGTGAGAAATACAAGTAAATAGTCCACAATAGACCATGACAAATAGTTCTGAGTGCACCATTAGGGTCATGGAAAATTTTCCTCAATTTTTTTTTCAAAGCAGCGAGAGATGATTATAGAGATGCATTTTATTACCACTGCTAATATTTTCTTTCTTTCTTTCTTTTTGGTTTTTTCTGAGGGACTTTTAAATGACTTTCCTACATTCTCCTGCAAATAACCTTGCTTTTCTTCCACCTGAACTTGGTATCTAGCTCTACCCTTGACTCTCTATTTAAAGACTGTCTTTTTCACTTTTAAACTTTCACGATGTGTGCCACCTAATAGGTCAAGTGTAGATTTGGGATTAGAATGAGGTAAAATTGCAATTTTATTTGTGTTTACTTAATCTGTATTCGAAGTTCCTTGTATGGACAGTGGCTTTCCTAAGAACTAATAAAGAGACTAATGTAGACTGATTCAGTGGTAGGACTTCCAAGGAAAGGTGACCTTTACACAGATAGGAAATACTTGCAAAAAAGCATGGTGAGACCAGAGTGCAAATAGACAAAGAAAAGTCTCCATTCCAACATAAGTTAAGAAAAGTCTTTTTTTTTTAACCTTCTATTACTTGCTGTTGTACAATAGTAAAGTATAAGTTATTTGAACTTTTAGGATCAATAAGAAAAGTTGTGTAGCAAACCAAAATCATTTCTGTAAGAAAATAGACTTATTTTTGTGCATTTTTTGATAGTGCATTATAGTAAATATTGTAGAATTCTTTTTTGCTAGGAATGCAAATAATTTTAAACAGAAGTTGTCAACTAAAATATTACTTTGCTTGATTTATTTGATCTAAAAGGCATCCCAAGGATAAAATTTTGTTTTAATTAAAAAAAATTACTTTTGTAGAGATGGGGGTCTCACCATGTTGCCCAGGCTAGTCTCTTGGCTCCAAGCAATCCTCTTGCATCGGCCTCCCAAAGTGCTGGGATTATAGGTGTGAACCACTGTGCCTAACCTAAAATATAAAATTAAACTCCAAGTGATATCAATTTATTAGTATTATTGAACATAAATTTATTATTAAATATGAATTTATTATTTAACATCAATCTATTATTATTGAATATTAATTGTTTTGCCAGGTTGAATTATGCAATTTTAATAAGAGTTTTTTTTTTTTAAGGAAGATTATTTTGTGTGGGCTCTATCTCAATATCTTAAATTATGAGTTGAGTTGGTAACAACTTTTTCCATGGAAACTCATGGAGTTTTAGTTTAAAAAACACTTAAAATACATATTTTTCGGTCTTAGACATGACTTTTTGAATAAAAATATCTGAACAAGCATTCACAGGTGAATTTGTGGCATTAATGTTTGTGCGGGCAGCGTGCTTGGAATTTCTGAGGGTGCAGAGATTGTATTTCAGAAAAAGGAAGTGGTAGGAATTAAGGCAATAGAGTATCGTGGGGAGTAGGATGATAGCTAGTTTGGCTGATGCCCAGGAAAATAGGAGAAGGTAAGACTGAAAGGCAGTTGGGGGTACATTTGGAAATAGCTTGCAGCATCTTTGTTCAGCAGACAAGCGGGTATCACAGAATCTTTTTGATAAGCAGCAGACCTAAACAAGGCAGAGCTCAAACTCAAAATGGAAACTACTGCCAGATGCATTGTTTGGAAGAATAATGGGCTTAATATGGGGTCAAAACCAAATTAGAGATAAAGCATGGGAAAAGAGAGCAACAGAGAGTTGCAAAAAAGTGCTGAAGAAAAAAATAGATGCAACTTGGTGTTTAATTAGATATGGTGGGGGTGGGAGAGAAATAAAGCAAGATGACTCATGTTTGGAGCCAGAGAGAACAAGTGTACCCTTAACGAACAGGAAGTCAGCAGAAACTGGTTCTTGGAGAAGTTTAATTTTAGAAATGTTAAGTTTGAGGTGCTGCCAGGACATCCAAATTTAACCCCTTTCTTGGGCCTTTTATTGTAGGGGATAAGAGGCAAGTCCGTTCTTTCAGAAAGGGTCCTGCTGTTTACCAATCGCCTATCTTAATTTTCCCAGTGAGCTTCTGACCGTGTCCCCCGGGTTCTGTTTTTGTTTGTTTGTTTGTTTGTTTTTCAGACGGGCAGTATGAGGTCTTTTCTGTATATTTTTGGGTTTAAGATATTGGTGAATCTACAAGATAACATTTTTCCTTTGTTAGTTAGTACGGATTATTTTTCACATTAAAGTGTCAGTGGTTATCGTAGTTCTCTTCACTAGAGCTTACCAAAGATGTCTTCATACCAGCAGTAAAGCTGTGGAGGAAGGCTAGAGTGAGTCACGGGAAAGAATATCCTATCCACCCAGTTCGGTTTTACAATCGTGTAAGTAGAACTGGAACTCTGCACAGAGGTCAGGGTTAGAGAGAGAGATGGATTGATTGATTTATCAATGTGGAAGTGAGTTGGAAGGCAGCAGTAATTCTTCTGAGCGCATGCTTGAGCGTATTCTGCTTTACAACTCACATTTTGTTCGTGGCTGGCTGTGTCTTCTAAAACAGATCACACTGTTCTGGGGCACAGTGAGTCATTCCACGTTCTTTTCTTCCCTGGTTCCACTCTGCACTTGTTCCTAATCAACTTCCTCTTATCTCTAACCATTTTGCCAGTGTTTCTGTCTAAGCACTTCTGTCTCCACTGAGGTCAGAAAAAAGGGAAATAGACTGAAATCAACATCGCATCCACAAGGGTTTATGAAGTATCCTGCATGTGTGGAGCATCATTACAGGTTTTTCAATCATATTATATAAGTGACTGAAGTTAGATAAAAGAAAAGCTTACCTTTATATGACAATTACTAAAAGTTGGAATGAGTTATGGAGAGAGGCCACCGATTCTAAGTATAGAAGAAATGACTAGGTTGGGTGCTACCTGCTAGTTGATAATGGAACATAAGATCTTATATGTTCTTGGGATAACGTGAATTTTTTAAAATTCTATTTCTTGTGACATATGGGCTGAAGATTTTTTCCCACTACTTTCTGTGCCTGCGTAAGCAGACCATTATCATTGAGCTTGTGTCTCTCTTTATATATGATTATTTGTATCTGCCACCTCCTCCATATTGGTTTATATGTTGGCTGATGAAAGTGGAAATTCTATTCTTTCACTTAAATCTTATTTTCAATCATGTTTTCACATGATTATTATGTATCATAATCAATTCAGAATCATGTTTTTAAAGTGAAAATCATAAATAATTGTCTTTCTATATGCAGCAGGTCATTATGCAAATGACAAAAATATTTCTTTCACATTAAATAGAGGGAATGAGGAAATAATGTCCTAATTCAGGCGGAACTATTTTTGTTCTGCGTAACTAAGACATTTCCAATTTAGGGAATGCTGGTAGGTCAAGGGTCAAGGAAGAGGTCAGCAAAAGACTAATGTAATGCATTTTCTCTTTTTCTGCAGATTTCTGTGAATAGACCAGAAGCCGACCTTTACAGTGTGTTTGGGTGCAGGTGAGGCTGATTTGAGGCAAATGTGCTTTACAGATCTACAATCTTATACCTCACTCTGGCTGAAGCACCAGTCCCCAAGTGCAGACTTCTTGCCTGTTTCCCGTGTAACACTGTCCAACTCTGAAGGCTCCTACCCTGACCTTGGCCCTTGCTATTTTCTTCAGTGGTTCTGATGATGGAAGAATCAGAAGTGCCTGGTGTATACTGGAAATAGGGTGGGTGGGGGGGGGGTGGCGTGTATATTTTCGGGGAGTATTTTTCCTTTTTATCATCTCTATTCTAACTGTTTTCTCTGGGCACAGCTTTGCTCTAATTATAGCAAAGGCTAAACAAGGTGAACTTCAGTCTAGGAATTTTTAGTTCTATAATTTTATGAGAGAGAAGACTTTTTCAAATAATTTCCTTGCTTATTGGTTACTTTTTAACCTGCTTTGTGGGATCCATGCAGTTAATTGATTAATCATCTAATTATTACTGGCATGGTTATGGATGTTACTTACAATCTCAAGGCTTATTTTCCTGCAAGTGGGCATAAAAACACAAATTATAGGTTTGTTCTGAGTATTAAATGAGATTATGGCCAGTGCCTAGAACATATATTTGATGAAAAAATCAATTCAGTTCTATTGACACCAGCATTGAGATATGCTAAATTCAATGGTAATTCTGAGTTTCAGAGTTCTGAGAATGGCTTGAATAAGTTTATACTAACTTACAGTAGCAACAATTGTTGAATGCTTACTATGTAGAAGGCATAGTAAGGCGTATGTTAAATGTGTTGTATTAACTTATTTAGTTCTCACTACAGCATCAGGAGGTAGGTTCCATCGTCTATATTGTTTAGCTTGGATAGAAATAACTTGCTTAGGGATAGCCTGTTAGGTCTGTCTGATCCTGAGGTGTGTACTCCAAACTATATTATACTGCCTTCCTGTGACCATTTTCTAAATACAAGTATCATATTTTGAAAGTAAGATACATAAAATTGAGCAGTTGTTCTGTGATTACTGTGAGGTAGACTGTGAGTTGGGAAATGTTACATTTGGAGTGGAAAACATTATAATTATGGATTCAGAATTCCATGATCAGGGATGGCTGGGGACAACTTCTATTCTAGAACATGGGTTGGGAACATGGACTCTGGACTCATATTTTCTGTGTTTGCATCTCAGCTCTGCCACTTTGTAGCTCTGTGACCTAGGACTAACTCAACTTCCTGAGTCTCAATTTTCTTGTCTATAAAATGATGAAAATGCTGCCCATCTCATAGAGTTATGAGGATTAAATGAGCGAATACATGTAGATTCCTTAGAATAGTGGCTGACACTTGGTAAGTGTCATTAGATATCATTAGCATTTCTATATCTTTCACTTTATATGTCTCTTCTGGCTGTCTTCATGTGTGCATAGTTGTACTCTTGCTAAGAAATGCATAGATTTACTTAAGGATGTTGTGAAGCTTGTCCACAGAATTATAATGTGGTTTTGGAGTCTTTAGTATATTATAATAGAGGGAAAAGTTATTACTGTCAATTTTTTCCACCTTCAAAAACAATTATTGCTTAAGAATTACTGGGATTAATTATCTTTTAAATGTTTAAATCTGAATTCATATTTATAAAATTAATACCTGTTCAAAATCAATATTAGTAGAAGCCAAATATATTGAGTGACTTAGTTGGCCTTATCTTTAGTCATAATTTCAGATTGGAAGTGAAAGCGAATTTAAAAGATGTGGTTGTGTAGAACCATCTCTTTTATTCTTTTTATACATGCATGTGAGTGAGGTAAGTGGTTAGACATATTCTTAGTCTTTTTGCCCAGCTCAAGGAAGAGTTAATAAAATTACGTTATGTAAAGTGCATTGAACTCCTCAAGAGAGAAGTGTTACATTAATACCTGCCTCACAGTGATGTTCTCAGACTTAATGTTTGTAAATTGCCTTGGTACTCCCAGTAACATCCTGATGAAGCATCATTTTGTTTTATTGCAAGGAGCTCTAAGTTACACAGAATACAAGTTAAGGGGGAAATAATATCCCAGTCTTTATTTTACAATCAGAAGTACATAAAATAGAGAGAAAACATTTTGTTCCAGTTGTGAATGGTAAAATTGATCATTTATTTTTTTCTCTCTGTTACTTTGGGGATGACGTAGAGTTTATAATGTAGTTTAATTGAGCACTCAAGGTTAAAGTATTTAATGGCAGAATTGGTGATCATGATACAAAGAGATCTTTAAGGACACTGGTATTCAAATTTTTAAAGTTAAATTCCAATTTTAAGAGTCAGTTTTTTATATGATTACTATTAAGTTTGGCATTTTTGAGACATGTCTTAAATCGATATCTGTAATACTTACAAACATCAGTAGAGAGAATCATATTGTAAACACATATTCTTGCTGTAGGGTACATTTTAAATGTCTAAACACTAATCAATATAGCAAAATTAAGTATTGACTAAAATAGCTTTATAATAAGTAATTATTGGTTTGCTCTTTTAGAAATTAGACATTTTCACTTTGGGAATAAAGAGTAAATTTACTGTCATGAAATTAAAGTGTTTTTGACCTTTTTGTACAACTTTCCTCTGTCTATGAAATGATTAGGTTTAAATATGATTGCACAGCTGTATTATGTTGCAAGCATCAATTTTTAATTATTATAAGGTCAATGTTAGAACAAATGTGATTAGAACAGTACCTCTGTGCAGTTATTTACTTTCTACTCAGAAACCACTCTGTGTTTACTAAAACTAACCCAAACCTCTCTCGGTTGATATGGCTAATTAGATTCTTGCCAAATATTTTATTTTCCTCAGTGTTCATTCTATGTATGTTATTTTGTTGATTCGTTCAGTTTTTTAAAATACGAATTTCGTGATTTATTTCTTCCCTTCATAGGGGGACATTTATTTTTCTATGTGTCTGTGTGTACATATCTCTCTGTGTGTATAACCACAGATAACAATAGCTTCACAATCCTCCTGCCTTGTATAGCACAAATATTTCTTCCCCACAATATTATTGAGAACTGATTTGTATAAAGCACATCTAAAGAGAAAAGGAGTTTCCTTGCCAAGCCTAGATTTTTATGATTCTATAGTCACAGAGATTTGCTGCTCTTCCTGATTTTCTCCTGCCACTCTATGTGACTTTGGATTTGGCCTTCAAATTAAAAGTTTCCTGCTATATAAAAAATGACAAAATAATACATGATCTACACATTATTCATGAAAATTCCCAAGATTTTCAGCATTAATAGTAATTCAGGTTTTAATCACAAAAGTGGTTTTCTAATTCTTAATTAGTTGTTCAGATTTCATTTACTGTTGATATATTATCTACATTTTAAAAACAGCAATAATACTGGGCAAAAAAATTTTGTTGCCTTTAGTAAATGAAGCAGCCTAAGATTTCCTGCACAGAACACACAGGCCAAATAGTCCATCTCTGTGGTCTGGGGAACGAATGGTCAGATGTTGGCTGGGCTCCACTGGGAGTCTTAAGATGCAGCAGTAAAGGGAGGAAATCACTTGGCTATGGCAAGTGGAAGAAGGGCTGGTGGAGTAGTGATTCATTAGTAGGAATAAGCAGAATGTGCTACTAAGAAGGTAAGTTTTACTTTTGATTCATTAATAATTCTTCAGTCAATTTCATAGGGGTATAAAGGAACACTTAAAAGAACTTACTCCTATGTTAGATGATGCAGCTTTCACCCCATACTCCCTTCTCATCTGTTACATTATTTTTGAGTCATGTATTCTGAAAATAGTTGCTTTTGAAAAATAAATATGTAGGGTCCTCTTGTCGAATACTTTCAAGTTCTATGTAGGGTGTAATGATAGAATTCTCCACAATGTAACAATGAGTGAGAAGATATTTTGGAATTGGATGGTTCTTCCCCAAATCTCTTAAATTATATTACCCAAGAGGAAGCTATTTCTGAGTGGTGTTGCGGAAGCCTAGTTATGGTAGTCAATGCTGAGAGCATCTTGGAAAATCTTGACATAAATGTCTCCAGAACCTCCGACTGTAAAGGTTCATGTAAAACATAAGCCTGTGACAGGCTTGCATTTCAAAGTTTCTAGTTTCAGGAACTGCTCTTAGCTACTGTGCTCTTAGTTACTAAGCTATTTAGACCCAGCATATTTAACATATTTATAGTTATTATATTTAGTTGCTCAACAAATCTAAAAAAAGATAGCTACAAAACTGTTTTTATGTTTCTGCCAATAGCTTAAATATCATTATTCACATTTTCTAAATAATATTGAATGGAGAGATTCTATGATTAAAAAATAACAAATCTAATTGCCAAGTTCCTGTTATTCTCCATCCCCTCTACTGCCTCCACCATCACTACTTATTGACCAAAATATTTATGAATAATGCACTGTAAACATTTCTACAGAAATTCTTCTTCTTATAAACAAAGCACCATAGAAAGATCATGAATGAACAATTTTATAGAATTTAAAAGCCAAAGAAATGTTAATCAAGGTTAAAATTATGCCTTATTCCTGTCAGCCACAGAAATTAGGTAAAAGCTTTGTTTTCTGATGAGGCAATTTCATGGAGCCTTTCTCAGTTACCTTCACTGAGCCCAACCCTTTTTCCAAGATGTCATTAAAACATCTTCACAAGAGGAGACGGCCAGCTATGGCACTTCATTTTTCAGTCTCTAACTGCCTCTGGATTTGTTTTACCTCTCAAGTCTGTACTAACATCCAGGTTTTGGATAATATGACGATTTGCATGGATTACATATTTAGAGCAGATTATACCATGTTTGGTTTGGTGGTCAGATGAGTCTAGTGTAGGGAATATAAATATGGCTCACTATGTGAAGGTGCAAGGGTAGCATACTGTTATATTTCTAAATCGAATAAAATTGATATATTCATTATCCAACTTAGTTTGGCTAGATATTCAGTAGTGGCTGTAATTGGTTTGTTGCTCCCCTCTTTTTTGGTATGATACAGGAAGCTTATGTGGCCTACACACTAGGAAAAAGGCAGGGAAGGACTTTTGGACCTCAGTTTACTTTTTTTTGCATTGTGATAGATGCTCATGGTTTTAAGTCTTGATGGTCCAATTTTAGGTGCTCCACTTAACTCCAAGCCAAGCTAGGACAGGATAGGAAACTTTGCCAAAGCTTAAAGCCTTCTAGGAAATGAAATTTTTGAATAGCCTGGAATCACTTTGCCTACCTGGTCATATCACCTCTTCTAGGGTGTGATGAAGAATTTTCACGAAGCCACCTGAGGAGCCAATTATTCTATGAAAATATGATCAGCTACATCATAAAAATGAAAATTAACATGATAGGAGGCTGAAGTCTGGGACACTGCCTTTGGGGAGAGAAGCAGAGCTGGTCCAAGCCCTGGCCCCAAGTAAAGCCACTGTCCTGGAGCCACCTTGGAGGTCCCCCTCCACACTAAATGCCTCTTTGCACAGCACTGGTCCCTGCTCCCACCTCTCTGGACCACTGCAGCTGGATGGGCAGTGGCGAGTTGGGGAGGCACAGCATGACTCAATAAGATCTGTCTATTTAAGCGTGTTCTGCTGGGTCTGCAGTGGGCAAATCTAACCTGTCCTCTGCCTTGTGAAGGGACAATTTCATGCATACTAGGAGAGCACACTCGGAGCAGCCTTCCTCCCACAGAATGTCTGCTTGGACAACACAACAGTTAGGTTTGAGATCTGGGACACGGTTGGACAGCAGTGGTATCACAGCCTGGCCCCCATGTACTCTTGGGGGGGCCCAGGCTGCCATCATGGTCTATGACATCACCAATACAGATACATTTGCCAGAGCCAAGGACTGAGTGAAGGAGCTACCAAGCAGGCCAGCCCCAACATGGTCCTTGCGCTCACGGGTAACAAGGCAGACCTGGCCAGCAAGAGACCCCTGGAATTCCAGGAAGCACAAGCCTATGCAGACGATGACAGTTGGCTGTTCATGGAGACATCAGCAAAGGGTGCAATGAATGTGAATGAAATTTTCATGGCAATAGCTGAGAAACTTCCCAAGAACAAGCCCCAGAATGCAGCTGGTGCTCCAGACAGAAACCAAGGTGTGGACCTCCAGGAGAACCACCCGGCCAGCCCCAACCGGTGTTGCAGCAATGGAGCCCCCCTTGCCTGTCCACTGCCCCCAAGTCTTCCACCTTAGTGACCTGGAATCCACTCTAACCAATTGTACTTAACGACTCGGGCCACCTCTTGGGTAGGGGGGTAGGAGTAGGAGTCCACCATGATTTCTCCATATAATTTTGGTCATAGGCCATAGTGAGTTATTTCACCTGTACATTTCTGTACAAACACTAATTGGATTTTAAGTCTTAAGTCACTTTTTAAATGTATATGATCTTCCGCTCTTCCCACTTCCTCCTCTTCCTACTGCTTTCCCACTTTTCTTTTGCTGGTAGTAGCCACGTGCTCCTGTCTCCTGAACCTTGTATATGGGGACAGTGGGGTCCAAGCAGCTACCTTCTTTCCCTCTTGTGGAATAGCGGACCCAGCAAGAGCATCCATATTCTTACCTTGTTTGAAGTGGTCTTGGGTTTGGGCGGTGGGGCAGGCCTTGGGGCTAGGGAAGGAAGAGGCAGCTCTTTCTTCATCTGGCTGTCATCAGGCTGCAGCCCTCTCCCTGCCCCCTACTCCCCTCTGGGAAACCACAGCATTATCACAGCATTATTGTGACAGCCACAAACCCGTAGCCTACAACCCCTCCACCCTCTGTCACCCTGACCTCTTGCTCTGAGCCCAGTTCTGACCAAATCATCATGAGTATTTGGGGGTGGCTGGGTAAAGGGGATAGTGGGAGGAGACAGAACCAACTTTTACTTGTATTTTGTATTGTATGTTTTCTTCAAAATGTAACCAATCAGTATCGTCAATATAGTCAAAATGTGGTTGATCATATTTTCATAGGATAATTGGCTACTCATGTGGCTTCATGAAAGTTCTTTGCCATACTCAAAAGGGGGTGATATGACCAGGTAAGGAAAGTGATTCCAGACTATTCAAAAATTTCAGTATAGTCAGATAAAGAAATTAATATGATAATGAGATAATAGTTTATACTCACTACATAGCAAAAAATAAAAATTAGCACTATAACAAGTGATGATAAAGAAAGGGAGTAATGAAACACATAAGCTGTCAGTGGGAATATAAGCAGGTGCAACCACAGGCAATGCTCACAACACTTAACCACGGTGTCAGGCATTAATGCTTTAGTTACTGAATTGTGGGAAAGTCTCTGTTGGCTAAGAGGCTGGCTAGGTACAATGACAAACTTGTCCTATTTTAACTTCTCTGGCTTAAAACTGAAATGTCCTGTCCTAGAAACCCTCTCAGTCCCAGGAAAGCTGGGATAGTTTAGGTTACCCTGTGGACATAGCAGTTGCAAGGGGATCCTCCAGGGACTTAGGGCAGCAGCTGTTTATCAAGTGTGGAACTATTTCAATATTTTACAAACAGGTCAAGTCATGCTGGTGTGTAGCAGCTGGATACATGCACTTTGGAAGACATTTTGGCATTTGGCGTTCTGTGAACTTCAATATACATATGCTCTGTGACTCCCAAGTTCCTCTCAGTGGCATATAGATTAGAACAACTCTTGAGCATGTGTGTTAGGAAATGTGTACAAGAATGTCATGGCGGCATTGTATGTAATAACAAAAAAAGTTGGAAACAGACATCCTGCAACAAGACATTAGATGACTGTATTGTGCTTTTCATACAATGGAATACTGTGAAGCAGTAGCATTGAAGGGACCAGCATGAACTCATCTCACAAATGATATTGAACCAAATAAACAAGTTGAAAAATACAGAGGGTAAAGTTAGAATCAGGCAAAAGTAAGTAATATTTTAAGGAGATACAAACATATAAAATTATGAAGAATAGCAAGTAGATAATAAATACAAAAATTTGTGGTGGTGATTCCCTTTGGGATAAAGGAAGGGGCTCACAAAAGCCTTCAAAGTTCTTGCAATGTTCCATTTTTAAGCTAACTAGTGATATGTGGTTGTTCTTTTTATTCTTTTCACCTAATGCATGCTTTATAAATTGTTTAATATGTTTACAATATTTAATAAAAAATTTTAAATCTCAAAAGTTAAATTTTTGGGGGACACTGTCAATGTTTGTATCTTTCATATCCTTCAAAAGGAAATGGAAAACTAATCATTTAACGAATATTTATTGATTCATTACTGTGCACGAGGTACAGAAAGATTGAAAAAGAAATGAAAAACAAAATTCCTCCCTTGAAAGGCATAAATTCTAGTGAGGGAGAATAACAATAAGTCTCTATATAAATAAATATGTAAGTAAATGGGTACAATATATCTGTGGTAAAATTCAGTTTGAGATTATCGTTAGAAAATAATAAAAACCAGCCCTGGCACTGTGGCTTATGCCTGTAATCACAGCACTTTGGGAGACTGAAGTGGGCAGATAACTTGAGGTCAGGAGTTTGAGACCAGCCTGGCCAACATGGCAAAATCCCATCTCTACCAAAAATACAAAAATTAGCTGGGTGTGGTGGCACACACCTGTAGTCCCAGCTACTCGGGAGGCTAAGGTAGGAGAATCACTTGAACCTGCAAGGTGGAAGTTGCAGTGACCTGTGATCATACCACTGCAACTCCAGCCTTGTGACAGAGCAAGACTCTGTCTCAAACAAACAAAAAACCAAAACCAAAACCAAAACCAAAACCAAAACAAAAAATAATAAAAACCACAGGGAATATAAGGTGATGATGGGGTGTTAAAAGTGGCTATTTTAGACGGAGGTCAGGAAAAGCCTCCAGGAGCATGAACAGAGGATTAGATGAAGAGTGGAACCAGCCATGTAAATATTTGGGAAAAGAGCATTCTGGCGAGTGAAGAGCCTGCCAGCTCATCTCCCAAAGCTCTCTCCAAAACCATCTCTTTCATTTAGTCTCAGGGAAGCCATCCTCTTTCTCCCAGTTAGGGCCACTTCCCATCCATCAACTCCACACCTCTCTCCAGACTTTATTGCTTTTGTAAGCAGAGGCTTTTCCAAATCAAGGCCTGTTAACTTTGGCAAGACAGCCTTCAGGCCTCCACGATTTTCAGGTTAGTTTGCTCTCTTGTTGGAGGAAGAGGGCAACATTGTTCATTCTTTTGCGTCTTTAAAGAAGCAAAATGCCGGGCGTGGTGGCTCACACCTGTAATCCCAGCACTTTGGGAGGCCAAGGCGGGTGGATCACGAGGTCAGGAGATCGAGACCATCCTGGCTAACATGGTGAAACCCCATCTCTACTAAAAATACAAAAAAATTAGCTGGGCTTGGTGTCGGGCGCCTGTAATCCCAGCTACTCAGGAGACTGAGGCAGGAGAATGCTGTGAACCTGGGAGGCGGAGCTTGCAGTGAGCCGAGATCGTGCCACTGCACTCTAGCCTGGGTGACAGAGTGAGACTCTGTCTCAAAAATAAAATAAAATAAAATAAAATAAAATAAAAAAGCAAGAATGCATGAATCATCTCAATAGATTACCTTGCCACATTAGGCAGGATAACAGTTTTTGAAGTCTGTTTGATGACTATAGTGCCTACTAAGTCTGCAGAACCAATCTTCATAAAGGCCTAGAGAAGATTTTCTATGGTCAGTTTATGTAGTTATTTTCGGGTTAGAATGTTTTGTGTGGTCAACTTATGCAACTAATATCTTCATATCTTCGTTCAGACTTTTTTTTTAACTCTAGACTTGCATATCTAACTGCCCATTTTTAAAAATCTCAGCTTGGATATATTATAGATGTTTCAAATTTAACATGTCTGAAAAACAAATCTTCAATTTTTTCTTTAAATATTTCCCTTATCTCAGTAAATAGCAGAATCATGTTTTAATTTGCTTAGGCCTTAAATCTCTTAATCATTCTTGACCCTTGTTTTCTCTCATAGGCTATATCTAATGTAGCTGAAATTCCTGTTGGTTCCAGAACCTGACCACTTCTTACTCACTTCACTGCTATCACCCAGGCTGTGTCCACCCACATTCTTTGCCTGGATTATGGCAATGGACTTCCGACTTGTCTCTCTACAGTCCACCTAAGTTCCTTATAGTTCAGGCTCTCATAATGTGTCCCATAGATCCCTGAGGGTCCCCAAGACCCTTTCTTGGGGTACATGAGGTCAAATCTAATTTCTTAATTATATGAGGATCTACTGCTATTTTTCACTCTTACTGACATTTGTGTTGTTGGTGCAAAGGCAGTGGTGAGTAAATTGCTAGTGCATTATCACAAATCGAGCCAGTGGCACCAAAGTCTACTAGCAGTCAAACTGTACTTCACTAACAATCCACCAAAAAAAACGCAATTTCACTTAAGGATGTCCTTGATAAAGTAGCAAAAACTAAGATTTGTTCTCTCTTGAGAATACAACTTTTTAATATTCTATATGATGATGTGGGAAGTATGCAGAAAGCATTTCTGTTGCATACTGACATATGGTGCCTGTCTGGAAGGAACACATTGTGCAGTTGCTTTAGACAAAAACTAAACTATCTACTTTTTTTCATGAAACATCTATTTACTTGAATGAAAAACAGACAGAAAACAATAGTTATTCAGATTTGAACATTTGGCAGACATTTTCTTAAAAATAAATAAAATAAGCCTAACAGTTCATGGAAAGCAATTTACAGTATCTGTTGCTGATGATAAAGTTTTTAAGTGAAAATTCAAATTTTGGAAAACTTGTATGTGCTTGAGAAATTTTCAATACCTAAGAACTTTTCATTTGATATTAGAAGTGCTATTAATGAATATGATTTTTGATATTATGTAATGAAATGTTTGCAAGTTTGGAGAATCTGCATAACTCAATGAATCAATAATTTTTTCAAATGACCAATGCATGATGTTAAGAGATCATGTATGGATAAAATATCCATTCAAAGTGCAGAATAGCTGGATAGTCCCAGCTACTTGGGAGGCTTGAGCCCAGGAGTTTGAGACCAGCCTGGGCAACACGGCGAGAACCCATCTCAAAACAAACAAACAAACAGTACAGAATAGACCAATGGATCTTTCTGAAACAGAGTAGACGAGGTTTATTAACATGGTTTGAAAATCACCTTTAAGAAACTAGTACTTGTTAAGTTTTGGTATAATATCAAAGAAGAATATACAAAATTATCTGAAAAATTAATTGAAACACTCATTCCTTTTTCGATTACATTGTTGTGTAAGGTTGGATTTTCTTAATATACTTTAACCAAAACATCATATAGCCATAAATTTAATGCAGAAGATTTGAAACTCCAACTGTCTTTTATGAGGCCAGATATTCATGAAATTTGCAAAGGTGTAAAGCAGTGCTACTCTTCTATCAAGTATTTTTTTGGCTTGAAAATATGCTTATTTAAAAAATATGTTATTTATCTTATTTTGTAATGGGTCATTATTACTTTAAAATGAATTAACAGACATTTAAAAACATTCTTACTAAATAGACTGAGATACAGTAAATATTTATACATATAACCCTGTTAAAGAAAATCTCTTTGGAGTCCTCAGTAAGTTTTAGGTGTAAAGTGCCTGTGAGATTAAAAAGTTGAGCTGCTGCTTTTATCTCTTTCCTGAGTGACAGGCAGAGTCAACCATGCCACTCCTACCCCAACACAACCCAATGGTTCCTCCTTCACTCATGGTAAAAGCCAGAGCTCTCACAGTGGCCCATGAGGTCTCTCATTGAGCTTGTCTTCTCTAACCTTACCCTTTGTTCATGTTGCTCTAGATACCCTGACTTTGCTGTGTTCAGGAACATGCCAAGCTTATTTGGCCTAAGAGTTTCTCTGCTTTTTCCTTTTGCCCTGAGCCCTCTTCCCCCAGATTTTTGTTTATCTTTTCATTTCATTTCTTGGCTATGCAAATGTTACCTCAAGGGAGTCACCCCTCTTGCTTTTCCAAAACTGTTATTTACCCCACTTGCTTAAATTTTTGTGATGGCACTTCTCATTACCTGATAATGTAATTTGCATTTATATTTTTACTTGCTTACTACCTGTCCTTTCTAGTAGAACTGCCACTGTATTAGGTAACAGGTTTTGTTATGTTCATTGATTCAACTATAGGATCTAGAATGCACCAGACACGTAGTATATATTTGTTGTATAAGTGATTTAATGGTCTGTCTTAACATCTTAGAGGTAACTGTGGCAGCTTCATTCACCCTCACTTTGCAGCCCAAAGTTGGAGAACTTTTCTGAAGGACTTCTATATGTCCATTTTGAAACAAGTCAGAGAAAGAGTCCTTTGTGCTAGGCTGACCAGATAGTTCCAGGCCAGGATTTTCATGGGATTTCCACTTTACAACAGAGGTCTTGAAATACCATAGTCCTGGACTACTTATGGTCTACTTTGATGGCAAGTTCCAACTAATAACACACCATTTAATACTATATTGTGGAGTTTACTTGGCCGATGTAACAAGTCATAGAGCGTATATCAGTTCCTACAGTCTGTTGCTTTTCCTAAGCTCTCTTACTGGTTGGATACCTTCCTTATGTTGTAAAATCCTTTCCCTAGTCATACTTTTTTGGCGGGCTAGATACTATGAGTTTTTGCAATCACCAGAGAACATTGCAAAAATTCAACATCACTAAAATTTTGTCTGTATATAGGTCAGACCTTGCCTCTGCATGCAGGAAGCTTCTTGTACCATAAAGCAAAGAGCTTGTAACGATCCATTTTTCTCTCCTTATAATACTAGGGCCATCAGCTCTTCCCACTCTTTCCCTTATTCCAAAAATTTGTGTAAGAAAGATTATGAGAGAATTTGTAAGTATAGCATACATTTGTTTGAAATATATCAGAAGGAGATAAGTTTTCATAAAAGAAAACCTCAGAAATAATATGACTTTTTAAAAACCAATTGTATTTGCAAAGACTTAGGCTTATAAGCAAAAAATTAATTGCACACTTTAAAAGAGGTATTTATTGTGGAATTCTCTATGTGTTATTTTTTGATTTCATAGTAATTATACCATTTACCATCAAGATAACATTATTAAGATCTTAGAGTGAGCTATTTTAAAGGTTCATTTAAATATATTATTTCTTCAAATCCTCAAATCACTCTATTATAAATACTCACCGCCATTTTGTAAATAAACTGAGGCTGGACTGGGTGCAGTGGCTCATGCCTGTAATCCCAGCACTTTGGGAGACCAAGGCACGTGAATCACCTGAGGTCAGGAGTTCAAGACCAGCCTGGCCAACATAGTGAAACCCCATCTCTACTAAAAATATAAAAATTAGCTGGGTGTGGTGGCATGCGCCTAAAATCCTAGCTACTCGGGAGGCTGAGGCAGGAGAATCGCTTGAGCCCGGGAGGCAGTAGTTGCAGTGAGCCAAGATGGCGCCATTGCACTCCAGCCTGGGTGACAGAGCAAGACTCCGTCTCAAAAAAAAAAAAAGAAGCTGAGGCTGAGAGTTTAAGTAATGTGTACAAGATTCTGCAGCTAATAAAATAAGTGGGAGCATCAGAATTCAATCTCAGTTCTTCTGATTTCTAGTCCAGTTCTCTTTCTATTTTTTCTCTTTCTATTTTACCATTATACTATTTTGAGGTAACATTGAGTAAGGGTTCTTTATCATCTTGGTTAGTTAAGTGCATATTGATTTAACATTCATGTAATAATTGAATAATCACCTTTAGCAAATACCAGAGAATATAAATGCAGCCCAAAAATTATAAAGTACCATTGAAAGATAACAATTTCTTCTGAAAATCCAATTTCAACAGGAGGCCAAGAGGAAATTTATATTATCAAATAAATAAGGGACTGAAAGAAAGCAGAATTTGTATGAGCTTGTACTATGAGATACCATCATAAAAAACTGATGGCATCTTTCAGAATTGGTTAAAAGCCACAAACTTAAGAAGGAGAGGGAATTGGAAGTCTCTTCAAATATCTACTGTGTCTAGTCATGAGGCTATTTCCTGGACACTAGGAATGACAATTATTTTATCCAAGCAAAGTAAACACTCTTCCCTGTTGCCAAATATCAGTAAGAAACATAGCTGGCAAAGAGTGAGGTGAAGGTTAAAAAAACAAGAGAGAATATATTTATACTGATTTTTTAAGTGCTGAGTGTAATAGTTATTAATGTTAGTAAAAATGGATTAATTAGACAAGCATTCGACATTGAAAACAGCAGGCTTCTCTGTGATTTCTCAAAGTAATTTTTAATTGAAAATATGGGAACCCAAGAAAGTGATTTGATTAAAATTCTTTACTTTCAACATTGGTAATTACAACAATAATTTCTTATTGCAGCACTTTTGAATATTAGTTAACTATTTAATTTTATGATGCATGTCACTGATATACCTAACTGCTAGAAGATGATATGGTAATACACTTGTCATTAGTGCTTACTGATGTGTGAATTAAACATTGGTATAAAAGATGCTTCTCACAGTCATGTAAATGTTAATTAAATTGGTAAGTATAAAAACACTTCTTCTGAGCAACTTTTAATTTAAGCAGTTAGAATAAATATGTTACACATCAGGATGTTCTGATTCATATATTTTGGGATTGAGGAAAAATGACTTTGGCAGGTTCCCTCTTAGAGTCATCAAATAGCTGTCTGTTCTTCTAATTAAGTATTTTGACATAAACTTTGAATGTAATAAGATAATATTAAAGAATTGTTTACGGAAAGATAACTAATAAGTCAACATGATGAGGCATACTAGGAGAGCACAATCGGAGCAGCCTTCCTCACAGAAATTAGGTAATGAGGCAGCTGCAAAAAATGCTGGTATAATTTTTAACTGATTTAAAAATACATCACAGAGAGGTGAGAGTGCTGCTGTACTTCATATTGGTAGGGGCAAATGTAGCATATTGTCTTCATCAGCGAGGGATGTGGCCTTGTGAGAGGGGAGAATAACCAGCAATGGGAGAAGCTTTACAACCATGACAGTGCAGCCAGATCTGAAAGTCATGGGGATGTTTCTTCTAGAGAGATAAAGACATAGATAGATTAATGTTTTTTTTGAGAAAAGTATTTATTAGCCAGTGTCCTTGGTGTGTCTTGAAATTAGGACACAATTGTTGTAGCTACAGACCAATTACCAGAAAGAATAGGCAGTGAAATTCATACACTGTTCTCTTACTTGTTTGTACTGTCTTCCAAAAGATTAGCATTAGTTCTTGATTATAGAATTTTCCAAATGAAAATGTTTGCATTTTGACCTTTCAGAATGAAATTTAAAAACTGTGTTTAAAAAGACTTTAGATAAATTTAAGGAATAGTTGTTAAGCAAAATTAGAGGAAACATGAAGAAGCTGGGACTTTCTGTGTTAAAAAAAATGTTTCTCATCTTTAGCCTCTCCCAACAAAAGATTTTCAAAATCAGTGATGACACCAGAAAAATGAATAATGATCAGATCCAGCATGCTATCAATAAGGCATAGTCTCAGATTAAAACCTCAAGGGTTTGCCTGTAAGACGTTTGTTGTGACCTAAGAAAAGTTTAAGGGTGTGCTTAGGGCTTCCAAAAATATTAATGCATGCCCTTTCTGATAGAAAATAGGTCCCCTAAAGATCTTAAGAGTGTGACTCTTAGATATTTTAAACTAGAAAAAAGGCTTCTAAGTACCCTAAAGTCCATGGACTTTGATGCTTGGGCCAAGTATTTTTAGAAAGAAATTGGGGTGTGAATTTTGTTGAGTGGAGTGGATTATAATTTGACACACAGGAGGCCCACAAAGCTTCTAAAGGAGTTACACAAAGTTTGACTTAAAGGGATGAGATGATACAAAATGAAAAGGAAATTCTTTGTATTCCTAACTCGCAGGAGACAAGTTAAAAAAAAACCCTGCTTATTTGCAAAGATGACTATTCTCATGAAGAAAGAGGGATGACTCAGAGGGCAGAATCAAGATCCCAGGAGGAGCAGTCAAAAGCTACAGAGAATCACTCCCAGGAAATAGGACTGTGCCATAATTAGGGAACCAGTGACACATGCCCAAATAGATTTCAGAACGTCTGTGGACCTGCTATGTACCTACCATTTTGTCTCTTTGTGAAAGAGAGAATCTATTTCAGTCATCCTATGCCTTTTCACTATTGTGTGATATGTGTATGTGGCAGATAATTTGTCTCTTAAGTTAACAAGTCTTCAGATTTACAGAAACTGTACTTGCAAGATTTGAACCTGAAGAAACATGGCACATCTGCACTTGGACCCAGTTTAAATAACAAGATCTTGAACCTCAAACCTGAGCCTGATGCCATAGTGGGATGAGAATATTGAGAATCTTGAAAGAGTGAGTGGTACAGGCACAAATTTTGGTGGCCAAAAGGCAAACTGATAGTAAAAGAATGTCCCTATGAATTCTGTTCCTTTTTATATAGACATGCTTCTACTTATGTCAAGAAGAGGATTTTTAATTTCCCTCTTCTTGAATCTGGGCTGACCTCAGTGACTTTCTTGACCAATAAAATGTGGTGAAAATTATGTTATGGGATGTCTGAGGATAGGTGATAAGAAGCTACACAGATCCTGTCTTGTTTGTTGCAATGCTTACTTATGAGACATTTCCATTCAGAAAGTTGCTGTTGCTGTGAGAAGCTCCAGCCACAAAGAGAGGCCACTTGTAGGTATTCCAGTTGAATGCTGCAACTGGGCTTCCCACCAGGAGCCAGCATTAATTGCTATCTTGGATGAGTGGCTCAGTTAAGCCTCAGCCATTGTCTTCCGTTGTATGAGACACTTCAAATAAGAGCTACTCAGCAGAGCCCAGTCAATCCACAGAGCCATGAGAGACTATACATTGCTTTAAGCTACTAGAATTTGCAACGTTTTGTAATGCATAGATAACCAAAACAATAACCATTTATTCCCACTTTGCACACTTCTTTCTCTCCACATGGAATACCTTGCTTTGATACTTTTCTAGCATTCCACTAGCAAATCTTTCATCTGGCCTCTATTTCAAAATTCCAAATAGAATTCACCCTCTCTTGAGTAACTTTCCTTGTTTTCGACTCTTCCCTCAACACGTGGGATTTAATTTGTCTCATGATAATTTTTACTTAGTGACACTGTGTTTCAAAAGTTTTTGATTCATTCTCTAGGGTATATGCTCTGCTTTTTTTCATATAGTTGTAACATTTTTAACACAGATTAAATTTCTTATACTCCCTCCACCCCCAACCACAGCTCCAAGTTCATACTCATCACTTCAAAATTTTAACCAACTAAACCTCTTCTAGAGTGCTTCTTGGACTTGAAGGATAAGTTTTACACTCTTTGATGGTCTAGCCACCATACTGAACTTGTTTAACATGAACTATTGATCACCACATGAAACTTTCTGTTCTATACCACATTAATGGTTTGAAAGTCTGTGGGCTGTTTAGTTATCTTGAGTTGCTATTGACCCGTTTTCTTATTTTTCCCTGTTGCTGCCTTGACTTGGCCTATTACACCTCAGCCCTGTGGCCCTGGTAGTTTTTTCCAGTGTGCCCAAATTATTTCTGGCTTTAAGCCTTTGCCTTTGGGTTCCTTCAACCCCAAATTCTTTGCCCAGGCTCTCTCATATCCTCCTGCTCTCAACTGAAATGTCACATCCTTCAAGCCCTTTTCTGGCCATCTACTCCACAGTAGCTCCAAATTCCATGCTTGTCTCTCCTATTATTTGACTTTATTTTTTCATGACATTCATAGTTACATGGAATGATCTACGTAATTATGTTTTTTTTGTTGTTGTTGTTGACTATAGATAGGCCTGTTTGGGGTACATAGCATGAGTGAGAAATTTTGGTGTTTGGCCACTGGGATTTTGTGGTTGTTTACTCCCTGGCTCCCCTTACTCTTGTTTGTCCTCTCACTAGTATGTGAAGTTCAAGAAAAAAAAAAAACAACTTTTGTTATTTCAGGTATTGTCACATTCTCAAAAGAATGGCAGAGTGCCATACTATTAGGCATATTGTAGGTATTCAGCAAATATTCATTAGATGAATGATCAAACTCCCATATTCCTCTTGCCACCAGCATAGGGTGGGCCTTAGGAAACCAGCTGAAGGTAGGAGCAGTTGATTCTGCACTCTGGGAACTACAATGACATCTTCTCAATGGTTTGGGCCAGGGGCACCAGTAACAGTGGGTTTTAATAAGTTTGAAAGAACCTCAACCCATTCTGTTAAGGTTAAATAAGAAATATTAGATTCTTAAATTTCTTATTAATATTTTTGTTCTGAAAAATCTGTCTTTATGCTTCAACAAGCCAGAACTGGGATGACTGTGCCAAAACAACAATTTTTATTTTAAATTATTTTTATGACTCTGCCAATTGGTAAAAGGTTTCAATTTTAAAGATCAGTGCTTTTATTAAACTATGGGCAGAATATTTGCCTTCTTCTCACTTAAATATACACAGTCACTTAAATAATGGAATCAGTTGGTCATCTCATCTAGAGTCATATAGGTAATTTTCTCTCTCACTGTGTAAGATGACAGATTCCAGAGCTAATATATGGTTTTCAAGATTCTACAAAGAGAGTTGCCTGGAATAAACGTGTACATTTTTTTTTCTTTGAAAACCTGCAAGTTTAAGATGTTTAGCGTTCATCCATATCCTGTTTTTTCCTTCCAGGCAAATGGGGGGATTATGTTTCTTCCCCAACTTCCAGTTGGAGAGGAACCTTAAAACTAGTTCTGGCCAATGGGCTCTGAGCACAAGAGACATGTGCTCAGGTGTGTAATTTCATCATTTAATCACTAGCATGAGACCCTGCCTTCTCTTTCCTCCTTCTGTGATGTGGAAATTATTACTACCCAGCTCTCTATGGTGTCTCAGGAGGCTGCAGATTCCAGATGTGCAGACATAGGAGAGCAGAGTCTTCACAAACCGGGTTCCCTAAGTGACTCCCTGGTGGCCTATGTGGAGTCTGTAGCATGGGTCCCTCAGGCACTGCATCCCTAAGTGACTGTGGACCTCTTTGGGGTACATAGTATAAGTGAGAAATTATGGCATTGGCCATTGAGATTTGGTGGTTGGTTGTTATTGCACCATAGTCAATTCTAAATGTATAACATAGTTCAGGAATGAGATCTGAGGTTGATTTTTACTAGCTTTTTTCTAGTAGAAAAGATTTATAAATATTTGATAATCACTTTAAATTGCCTTTCAAATTACTTTTTTAAAGAAGAAATTTCTACAATGTGTATCCGAATTTAATGAAGGAGAATAGTTTGTGTGTTCCTGATTTTTCTTGATAGCATTGAAGAATATGTGGACACAGAGGAAAAAGCTCTAGGACTTCTGTGGTTTTAATTCACAAAATCATCTTTTATTTTTTCTTAAATTAGCTTCAGCTACTAGCACTTAAGATATTTCTCAGCTTTCATTTTTGTCATAGAAATTAGCATTTTTATTACCACAAATTATTCTTGTTTGCTAATTCCAAATATGTCCAAAAGCAAGAACAGCCTCCTGAGCTGTTAGACTTTGGAAGAGAATAGTAAATCAACTGGTGGATAGGACCATATATCATATTAAACACGGGAATTCACCACAAAATCATTACACTAAAAAGCGACAATTTTGATTGATTAAAATGGTATGGGCTGGAGAGTGTTAAATCACTGTGAGTAATATGACATTATAATTTTACATATCATATTTCTGCCAAGACAATGATGGTAAAAGGCATTGTCATCAGATGATAACAGACAATAAGAAGAATCCTGATGTTAGATTTATTACCGGGTTTAGATTTAGAAAGAAGTAATTCTTGTCCTGTTCCACTTATCAAATGACTGTAAATTCAGTGATGATGTAAAATTCTAAGGCAGAGCCACTTATAGATTTGACAAAGTGCCAGTTATAAACTATTTATTGTTCTCAGTGGTTCTGCCTTACACACTTAAATATTTATCAGAAACATAAGCCCCTCTGATAAATGTTTTGGATCTTTGTGGCTAATTTTTTTTTACATTTAGATTTTTCATCAGAAACAAAATCTGTATTTTTATTGTGTTAATAACACTGAATTCATAATTTGAAAGGATAATATATGAGTTTTAAAATTTGACTCCTTGTAACTTCTGACTTTAAGTGTGAAACTTTTGGAATAGTTCTTTATCCATGGGAGCATGCAGTCTTTGCTTGGTAGCATAGCCAATCGGACCAGGGATCAGCCTGTGAGGTAAAGAAAGGCAACTATGTGCTGGCCACTAATCCTGGGGTGGCAGGTTACGGCGTGAGAACCCTGGGACATAGCAGTGTTTTTTATATAGGAGACAGGAGACTGGAGCTAGCTACATCTTTTTATTAAGGCATTCAAATGTGAGACATATAAATGGTATAGCAACTCCAAAGCACAGAGAATCACAGAAAGAAAGCAATTAGTGGACTCCATAACGTTGCCAAAGCCACCAAATACAAAAGCCAAAAGTTGCAGGTAGAAAGTCAGAGTCACTAAGAAACAGCAGGAGAAGTAGATATTATAAAAACTGAAATAGAAAGTAGCTGAACCATCAGAAAACTGAAACATCACTCTAAAAGTGGGCTAGGTTGCAATCATAAAGCTGTTGAGATTATTTTTTGTTATTCCTCAATTCCCTGGGTATCCTTACCGCAAACTAGCTTTAACTACTTTAAACTGGGCTTCTTACTCTTCCTCCAACTTCAAGAAGTCTAACACATCTAAGAAAATATAATGAATTCATAAGATCACAGAATTTCAACTCTACAAGAGCGCTTAGAGACATCTTGCTGAAACATTTCTTACTTATTTTTATTATGGGGAATTTCAGTGCCAGGGATGAAAAACAACGGAGACAAGCCCTTACTTTGCTCTACTAGCTGAGCATGTACTGTGATCATAAGCTTCTTAAGGTTACAAACATGTTTTCAGTATCTGTTTCTTCTACCCCAGTATAAAGTAGGAGCTCAATAAATGCTTTTTGAATAGTGAGTCATAGTAAAATCTTATGGCATTAGACAGTTTAGATTTGTTTGCAGGTCTGGTTAGTTCTAAATAGTTAAAAGCAGATATACGGTAAAAAATGAAGTGACTCTTTTTTTTTTTTTTTTTTTTTTTTTTTTTTTTGAGATTGGGTCACACTCTGTGGCTCAGGCTGGAGTGCAGGGGCATGACCACAGCCTTGACCTCTCAGGCTCAAGTGATCTTCCCACCTCAGCCTCCTGAACAGCTGGGACTACAGGTGTGTGCCACCATGGCTAGCTAAGTTTTTTTTTTTTTTTTAATTTGTAGAGATGAGGTCTCACTATGTTTGCCAGGGCTGGTCTCAAACGCCTGGGCTTGAGCAATCCATCTGCCTCAGCCTCCCAAAGTGCTGGGATTACAGGTGCCAACCACCACACCGGGCCGAAATGACTCTTATTTATCCCCCCCACCCCAATCTGTTGTGTTAACACTTCCTCTTCTGCACATAATACATACACATACTCATATACATACTCAAATAAAGGAGTTATTAATCTCTTAGGAATATAAACTGATTAAAGAGGTTTTATGTCCATCAAAATTGGTCTTGGAAAATTCATTGCACAAGGCTGGCATTTAGGGTTCACAAATTGCATGGGCAGTGGGGCAATGACAATATCCAACTAAGTTACAGTTAGGTCTCCAGACTTACCTAGATTCATGGATTAAAAATGAAAAGAGTGTTGTGTTCTGGAACATTTTCTGATTCAAGTGTAGGGAAGGTTAGTATGGAGCTAAGTTCTCTGACCCTCTAATAATTTACATGAAGCTTTCAGCATCAATCTCATTTCCTTGAATATCAAAGGCTACAGAGTTTTTTTGAATAAGTCAAAACTTTAAAGAAGTCTCTGAGAAATAATATATGCTGTTCAGCAGACTGTTTCGTAGAAGAGAACAATTAGTTGAATTTAGGGATATTTCTATTTCTTCAATTTTAGCCACCTCTGCAAAAGAACAAACAGTAAGAACTATCAAAGTCACATCTGCCATTCAATTTTGTTTTAACTTTCAGTTTTATTTTCCCTTGAGAGAAGTCCTTCAAAGCCAGAATAAATAATTCTCCTAGATAGTACACAGCAAATACAGAATGCTAGTTCTAATCTTCCCCTAGATTTTGTCTTAGGAGGTATAAAGACAAATCTTTAGTTTGGACTAATTCTGAATTATGAACTATATTGGAGGCCTGGCTTCCTTTTGCTAAGAAAGTTTCCTAGTCTAAATTTCCTAAAAAAGGTCTTCTGAGAAGTGTGATGATTTATTAGACATTACTAAGGGATAGGGCTTAGGAAAGAGAGAAAAGCTAGCAACTTCCATATTGTTCTCCCTTGGAAAAGTGGAAGTAGTATTTAAGGTCAGGGCACATGCCAACGTGAATTCTGACCATTCACAAAATTACTCATTGTGTCAGATGGGGTGGTTTGCATTCTGTGTGACACAGTTTTTTTTCCCATAAATTATGGGAAAAAAAGTCTTAAAGAAGGGACAGTCCAGAAAAGTTTGGTGTCCTTATTCATGTGAAATGAAAGAAAAATTAATAAAGGTTTGATGTCAACCTTATAAACAGGTAAACTTTATATCATGTGCTGAATGCAAAAAATCATTTCAAATTGTCAAGATTTCTGTGCTAAAGAGATTTTCAAAATTGTACTCCCAACAGCTCAGGATTGCTAGCATTTGTAAGGAAAGTTTACACACTGCTGAGAAGATACCTAAGATCATCTTAACATCTTCATAATTGTTTGTGAGCCACACTTTTGTTTTAAAAGTAGTTCTAAAGAACTCGGGGGACTCTGACTATCTTAATTGTATAGAAGTTGAAATTTAAAAAATGGTTCTTTCTAGCTTGATAAATTTTCATTCTGCATTAGTTAAGTAAGTTTTCACTCTGTTTCACCTACGGTTGCTCGTGAACCTTGGAAGAGGAAGTCTAAGGTAAACTTTAGAACAAATAAAATGCTATATAAAGCTCCTTGATGGTGCGGTGGCTCATGCCTATAAGGTCAAGGTAGGAGGATAGCTTGAGGTTAGGATTTCGAGACCAGCCTGGGTAGCATAGTGAGACCCTGTCTCTACAGTTTTTTGTTTTTTTTTTAATTAGCAGGGTATGGTGGTGCACACCTGTAGTCCTAGCTACTTGAGAGGCTGAGGTGGGATGATTGCTTGAGCCCAGGAGTTCAAGGCTATGATCACATCACTGTACTCTAGCCTGGGCAACAGATCAAGACCTATTTCAAAAATAAATAAATAAACAAATAAATAAAGCTCCTTGAGTGGGTGTTGGTATCCACACAAGGTGTGGGATAACACTGTAGATATGCTACAGGTCCATTAAACTACAGGGCAAGGACAAATAAGATTGGTGAATATTGAAATTTTAGCTAAAACTGGTCTTGCAATTGCCTACTTAATTGTGAATGCTTGATATCCATTAATTATTGCTTTTTGAAATTGAGATTGCTTTGAAGCCTAATTTGTTATATTTGTGTTATCACATATCTATTCTTTCTATCCATCCATCATCCCACCCTATATCTTTTTATATATTTCAAAATAACTTGCAGATGCCAATCAGTACACTTCCCCTGAAAGCACTTCAACATAATGATCACTAGAATTCAGTATTTGATTTTTTGAGCTACAGTTTATATACAGTGAAGTTTTCATGATACCGCTGGTGAGGATGGAAGTCAGGGAGACCATGAGGGGAAGCTTGACTCCAACAGCACTCAATCAGCGTTGGCATACTTTAATCTGCTTTTTTGCCTAATCATCTGAGGAGCAATTCACTTGACAAAATGGTTTCACAGCTAAAAAAAAGTTTCAACTTCACTAATCTTAAACATTATGATTTATTTTCAGGAAACAGGAAGCTCTCTTTCTGAGATTTTAGCCAGTCTTGATATTACAGATTTACTTAGTCTTAGAGACTCAACAAGCCAGTTTGTGTTTGTGAGCTGTCTCAGCAGGGGTGGCATCTCATCTTAGGTAGGATAGTCAATCTCTATTCACGGAGAATTTCAAAGGGATTTCGTATTCTGTGGCTTTCTCCATGCCTGAAATTATTCCTCCAGTATCACTTCCTAAGATCCTAAGTAAATCATTTATCATTTTTTTTGTGATTTTAATTATATTTAGCATTATATTAGTGGTGCAGACTTGTTAAAAATAATGCGTTAGTTTTATATTGCTGCTGTAACAAATAACCACAAACTTAGTTGCTTAAAACAGTACAAGATTATTACTTTATAGTTCTGTAGGTCAGAAATCTGGGCTAAAATAAAAATGTTAGTAGATCTGCATTCTTTTCTGAAGAATATTTTATGGGATAATCCATTTACTTTCTGTTTTTCAGATTCTAGAGGATGTCTGTGTGCCTTTCTCCCCTTTCAAACGATAGGGAAGATATACTGAGTCCTGTCTTCAGCTAGGGGATGCCCTGGCCTCCTTCCTATCTTCAAAGCCTGCAAGAGTGGGCTGAGTCCTTCTCACTCCACCCTCTTCTTTTGTGTACCTTTTCCACTTGTAAGGACCCTTGTAATTGCATTGGATTCACCTGGATAACCCAGACTGATCTCCCTATTTTAAGGTCAGTTGATTAACAAACTTTTTGCTATGTAATTTAACATAGGTTCTAGGAATTAGGATGTGGTGGAAAGGTATTTTTGCACCAGTCGCAAATGACTTAGTTATCAGTTTCATTTTATTATCAGAAATCAACTCATTTTGTTATCAAAGTTATTTGCTATTCTTTGCTACTTCATTCAAAACTGGAATCCTGAGTAGTGCTCATTTGGACATAAAGCCCCATGGTTCTACCCACTTGCTTTGGTTGTACTATTGAGAGCAGAAACTTCAAATCCAGGATCTGTTGTCCTCTAGGGAGTCCTGTAATTCATTCTGCTTCTTCCTGGAGGAGTTGCAAAAGGGAGCCCCCACTGGGTGGAGCAATTAGAAAGTGGTTCCAGGACTCATGGTTTGGTGAGAAGATAAAGGATAGATTTCAGCACCACCCCAGCAGGGTACAACCTACACACAGCAGCCCTCCCACCTCACTTAGAGTTTCTATAGACTATGCCCCATGTTTTCAGCCTCTGCCTTAAACATTTATTTGCTCTAAGCTTCTAAAGGGTAACCTGTGTCTTATAAAGTCCCTTTACGGCTTATCTTAGTGCTGAGGACGGGGTAAACCCTCTGGACCCTGTCTTGCTGTGATCTACAAGTGACAATACAAAACCACACCCTCTTTTTAGACAAAATTTAGGCATTTAAAAATAATAGTTTATAGATTTCTAGCTATGTAAGATGATTTATTGAGTGATTAAAAGCAATCTTATTTATGATAAGTTAAAAAAATCAGGATTCATCTTCTATACATTTCTGCTCACAGTTAGAATCTGAATGTCCTGTCATCTGTGTAGGCTCAAGGAATTAGCTACTCAGAGAACCCAGAAATGGCCAGGAGCCCTTGGAAGAACAGTCTCTCTGTGACCCCATTAGCTTCGAGTCCCAGTTTCCCTGGAAAAAGTAGGGTGAGGTGTCTGACATTTTATTGAGATAAATTTTCTGGAATAGGGTTCACTCCAAGTAGAACTTCCCTGCTCTTAGGTTTATTAAGTTTCCTAGATATTTGGGGAAGGAATTCTAGATGTCTTGCGGTCATTTTCTCATTCTGCAAGTTCTGCTGAAATCCAGCATATCAAGGAACAGTTGGAAGCACAGTATGTCTAAGAGGGAGTTTTGAAAATACATAGAGGAATTTAGAAAGAAGTTTTAGGACACGAATTACAAACTTCAACTAGTTCCTAACTTTTTTGGGGCTGTTTTTGAATGAAAAGTTGTGATGGATTTCTAGTACAGTCATGCACTGCTTAGTGATGGGAATATATTTTGAGAAATGTGTCATTAGATGATTTCATCACACGCACTTTATACAATGTACTTACACAAACCTAGATGGTATAGCCTACTACACACCTAGGCTATGTGGGATAGCCTATTGCTCCTAGGCTACAAACCTGTACAGCATGTTATTGTACTGAATGCTGTAGGCAATTGTAATACAATGGTAAATATTTGTGGATCTAAACATAGAAAAGGTACAGTAAAAATACAGTATTATAATCTTTTGAGACCACTGTCATATCTTGTCTGTCATTGACTGAAGTGTCGTTGTGCAGCGCATGGCTCTAATTCCACAGGCATCTCAGGTCATACGAAATGTGTCATGTTATTAAACATTTCTCCATTTGTCATGGGACAATACTTAGCTCTCCGTGTAGGAATATTTACCATCCTGAAGGTTAAGGTCTTCAGGTTAGACCAGCCAACAGAATTCAGGAAAAAGTTTTTTTTTTTTGGGTGATAATAATAGACATCAAAGAACTTTTAGAGATGGGATCCTGAAATTGATCAACACTCTTTTGGAAACATGTGACAGAAACCTAATTCAAATTACCTTGAGCAGAAAGGAAACATGGTGGCTCTTGCAGCTCCACTAGTTCACATGCCTGAAGGAATTGTTGGGGAAACTAGGATGCTGAAAGGGTCTCAGTACCTCTGGACTCTCTCTTTCTATCTAGCTTTTATCATGCTGGTCTCTGATTGGCTTTGTTCTGCACACAAGCTTTTTTCAAATGATGCAGAAGATGCCTGCTGGTAGCACCAGAGACCTAGCTCCAGACTCAGCAGTCCCTGAGGAGTGGGAACTCCTTTCTACCAGTCCTGTTCTAAGGAAGAACTCTGGCCTTCCTCGTACCCTATGCCCAAATGCTTGGAGAAAAAAATTTCTCTTGCCATGGGTGTACTATGAGTTAAAAGTGCTGGCTTCATTTTCCTCGAGCTTGTTACTTAACCTCTTGCTGGAAAGGTCCCTGAGAAGAAGGTTACAATTCAGAGGAGCTGGCACTAGGGGAGGAGAGTGAGGTGTTCAGATGCAAAATATAAGGAGACATTGAACAATTCAGAAATCAAGATAAATTTTAACACAATATTTTAAAAAGTCAGGTTGGTCTCCTATGCCTTATGGATTGACTGCCTGTTTTGGTAAATAGTTTTTAGTGAAATGAGAGCTGAGATGAGGCCGAGGTGAGTAAGTCAGGGTCATACAAGGTAGGGTCAGATCCTGTCTTTGTTTAAAATTTGATATTTGGTTCAAGAGTCTTTAGGCAAGCAGAAAGTATAAGATGGAAGAGTGGTGGTGCTGATGTGACTTGTCAGGGTTTAGAAAGGCTAACTGGATGCGCTTCTTCTGCCTGAGTTGAGAGATAGATGCAAGGGTTAGGCAGATAAAAACTTTTTTCGTGAGAAAGTTTTTGGAGAAGGTGGTTTGGTAATAGTCCATTGTCCTTCCTCCTCTATACCTGCTACGTCTCCCCTGCCGCTAGCTATCACTTGGGATAGTGCCTCAGGTGATCCCATGAGTTCCATTTACCCAGATCCCTGGTTGGCACTGGTTCAGGGCAGACAGGAAAGAAAAACCCTTGATGTTCATTCCTTATAGTTTTTAATAAGTGAACACCACCCACTAATCAGATTAATCACTCCTAATTCATGTAAATAAAATGAGGCAAGAGGCTAGGGATGCTACCTGAAGGCATCTTTATATGGAAACGAGGGGTCAAGGAGAAGATTTTCCACTAATAATGACTGGAAAATGTCTATTCATTTACTGTCAGATGTTTGAAAACCATGGTTTCATCAAAGAAAATTGATCTGTGGGTTGAAGGTGGACTGAGAAGCTGCCATTTATACCCTTGCCTAAGGGAATGCCATACACCTGAACTTCACAACGTCCAAACTTCAAAATTATAAACAGCTGGTGTCTGCTGAGTACCTATTATATGAAACTGTTCAGTGCTGGACCCTGGGTCCTGCCCTAAAGCAGTGTAAAATCTAGTTGGAAGGGGTATTAGTGAAACAAGGCAGGTCATGTCAAGAACCAAATAGCTGCTCTAGGAACTGGAGAAAGGAGAAATGTAAGAGACATTATTATTAAGGCAGCCTTTCTTTCTGGGAGAGGATATACTTCAGCTGGGCCCAGAAGAAAGGGTATTCTAACCAAAGGGAGCAGCTTGGCTGTGTAAATTTACAAACTGAGTAAAGTTACACAGCTTGGCATATATGTTGAATATTTGGGAACTGGCAGGATATTTGTCTGCTTGTGAATTCAGTGGAAGAAAATTACCAAAGCAAACTACCAAACACATTAAACAATCTCTCCGGACCAAGCTCTGTGGTGCTTCTTATGCATCATCCAATTTAATCCCCCGAAAACTCTATGAGGTAAGGATTAGCTCCATTTCATCAGTAAGATAGCTAAAATTTATAGAGGTTAAACAATGTTTCCTGGTCACATAGATCACATTTAGGAGATAAGAATAAAATCTACGTCTATTTAAATTCAAATTTCATGATCTTAGCATCTGTAATATTGTGAAGCCAAGGAAAGAAAGGCTGGGCATGAAGAGGCTTAGGGACCTGTCCCCGGGTTTGTTCAGTTGCTCTGGAGGAAGAAGAAAGTAAAATGAGGTTGCTATTAAGCTGGTTTTGCGTGTGGTAAAGTATTTGCTCACATGCTGAACAACATTTTTTAAAAAAACAGTTTTTAGTTTTTTGAGACAGAGTCTGGCTCCGTCGCCCTGGCTGGAGTGCAGTGGCACGACCTCGGCTCACAGCAAACTCTGCCTCCCGGGTACAAGAGATTCTCCTGCCTCAGCCTCCCAAGTAGCTGGGACTACAGGCGCACCCCACCACATCCAGCTAATTTTTGTGTTTTTAGTAGAGATGGGGTTTTGCCATGTTGGCCAGGCTGATCTCCAACTCCTGACCTCGGGTGATCTGCCCGCCTCAGCTTCCTAAAGTGTTGGGATTACAGGCATAAGCCACCGCACCCAGCGTGAACGATTATTTTGAATCACCTATGTTATTAACTTATAGCATAAGGAATGGGTAAAGAACCTGAGTACAGCAAATACAAGACTTGATCTTGTATCTTTTCACCTTACGCAGGCAAGACAGAAAAGCCAGCAAATGGGTGTTAAACAGTATAAAAGCTAATCACCTAAGGACACACAGAGTGGTAGAAGCAATCAGGAAAGGTCTTCCCACACTTACATAGAGATGGAAGATCCTCATTGAAATAACATCATTTTTAATGGATCAATTTCTACTTTTATACTAAATAGGAACACATTCGCTAGTATAACCGTTTATCACCACTAGATGTCACTGTAAGACTAAAGTTAAATTGCTGCACCTCCTTCCCAGCCCTCTCTTTTCAGATTTTTTTTTTTTTTTCAGTGAAAAAGTGGATTAAGAAGAAGAGATGAAGAGATACATGATGATACTGGTGGTTGGGGGGAGTTAAAAAATGGAGTGCTTTTATCCTAAACAGATCTCTTATTCTACTGTGTTTCCTTTTGCAGAACATTATATCACTTGTAGAAAAATAAGGTAACTTCCAGTAAATCTATTTAGAGTTAATATTTTTAGTTTTGGATTAAGAATGTACTAATTCACTCAAAAGTAGCCACAGCTTTAGATCTAGACTTTAGTTGTCCATTTGTGATAGTATTTTAAATTGTAGTTTTAATAAAAAGAAAGCAGACATAAGACAGTGTCCTCTGACTACTGCCGTCTACATTTATGAGAACAGTATATCTTCATGGTGATAAGGTGTTGGTGAGATATTCTTCTGATTTTATGGTCTCACTGAGTGTAATAGAAGGAAGCTCAGCTATCTTTATGAATGCCATTTTATTCAAAGATATCTTGCTTTGTTAAAATCCACAGAATTTTATTGCCTAAATTATGTGATGAAGATTTCTCAAAAGGAAAAAAATCTTTTTCCTTCCTGTTATAGTCCTTACATTATTATGTAGATTTTACTGTGGATAAAATATTCTGAATTTTGGAATTCTGTTTTCACTTTTTGATATTTTAGAATGTTAATGTAACTTTACAACTATTTCCTTCATTCCAATGGTTTTGTCATGTTGTGTCTCTGTCCTGACCTGTGACTTCTTCACCTCCTTCCTTTTCCCGGATCCTCTCCGCTCTCCACAGCCCTGACTCCCTGATAAAGTCTTTCCATTGCAAGGAGCCTTTCCATTTTATCTATTGCTTGCATGCCTTGCTTTTTGCTTTTCCGTACTTTTTTAGCTCTTCTAAATTTAGTTTCTAATGAAGTCCTATACTTTTCTTACCAGCTTTTTTTTCCAGAATGGCCTCTATTAGCTCTTTATCTTTGATGACAATAAAGCTCTTTATCTTTGATAACAATAAAGAACATGAAAATAATAATGGCTTATTTCCCCCAGCCTCTCTTTCTCATAATGTTTGTGACCACATGGCACCAAGTAACTGGTTGAGAAACCAGTTTGGTTGACCAGTTACTAGTTTTTACTACTTCCTATCAAATACTTATTTGGGTTGGTGTTTATTCCTGGTGAAAAGACTGGATGTTTGGATTCATATGGACATAGCCTTTGTCTCATCCCATTTCTTACAGTTCCTCAGTTTTTTACTGTAACTACCCAATTTCATGCAATTATTTTCTGGTACCTGTAGGGGAGTGACCTGATCAGTCAGCCTGAAATTGTCTTCTTCCAGTTTGTTAGGAGGAGATAAGTTTCTAATGTTTCATCAATAATCAAATAACCTATATATGATATATAGGACAGAAGGGAAACAATAATCAAATACCAATTATGAAATACTCCATGGTTCCCATGGAATGTGGCTAAGAAACATGAAGAAAATAAGGCCCAGAGTATGCAAAAGAGAAATTGAGAAATTACAAAGTTAAGCCAAGTATTAGATCTACCTTAAACACCTAAGAGTAAAACAGACCAATTATCAATTTCTCTTTGAAAGGCTCCATCTGCTAGGAACTTCTGCTGATTTGCAGTGGAATTTAGGTCATAGCTACTCAAAGTGTTGTTTTGTGGACCAGCAGTGTCAGTATCACCAGGGGCCTTTTTAGAAATATAGAATCTCAGGTGCCATCTCAGACCCACTGAATCAGAACTGCAGTTTAGCAAGATCTCCAGGTGATTTTTATGCACATTACAGCTTGAGAAACACAGATTTAGGTCATTGTTAGAATTAGGACTACTTTATTTTCTTAGGGGTTCAAATGGTGGTTTTTTTCTTCTCCTCTTCCCCCCTCTCTTAAAACATTTGGGAAATATTCTCAAAGCAATAAGTCTCAATTTTTTTTAGCCAACAGAAAACAGTAAGAACCCTGCTTTACATTTTTCCAAATCCAAATGGAAACAATGGATTTGGAAATGAAAGAGAAGCAATGAAAGAGAAGGTATAAAATAGTTCCAATGGTTTGAGTAGTAATATATTACTTGATCTCTGTTCTGTATTAGACTTTGTCCCCAGTGAAACAATTATACAGAAAAACTCCACTAACTTTGTATTCTTTAATTTTCTGTTGTCGCCCTGTCTCTTTCAGCCATGAAATGACTTCTTTTTTTCTTTTCATCAGTCTCTGTCTCCCATGCCTCACCTCCCTGGCCCATGTTCCAGCTGGCAACAGTTTATGAAGCATGTTGCAGTGTTAATACCTTGTTAAGGCTATTTTAGCTGTTGGGTCTTTCAGAGGTCAATGTCAGGACTGTTTTACTTTGAACCCTTGATGGGCAGGGTAAAGCTGGGGACATGTCGAACTTCTACCTTCTCACACTGCAGGAAGCCTTACAGCTGTAGGCATCTCTTCCCATGATGCAGTATTGCTGCAGGCCGTGTAAGCAATTAGAAGTATTCTGCTTCTAGTCAAATAATGAGGGGGGAGTTTTAAGACTTATTTAAAATTATTAGTGAAGTAGACATGGAATCATTAGGTTTCTTTTATATTTTAAAATTCAGTGCAGCCCAATATAGGTGTTAAAGACTGGATACATTTTATATCCTTTATTTCTAACAGGTGTCAAACATTGTTGAGTTTATAACAAAGAAAAGAAAATGAAACATTTTCCTCCAGTTTTATTATACTAGCATATTGTTTGACATCATTAGGATGTTTTAGTTTGGCAGTTGATTTTTCAGATTTTAAAAATAACATTTTAAGCATTTTTTTTTTGTTTAAATGCAGGGTGATTTATTGAAACCATGTTTTGGTTGTTTTGTTCAAGAAACATACATCATTCAGGTCTCTAACTATGAGGAGAGGAAGCAGGGATAAAACATATTGGTGGCACAAATCTAATATAATCCAGTTTTATTCCAATTGCCGTGCACCTAATCTCTTTTTATTCCTCCACAAAAATATATGCTGTATAAAGCATACTTTTTTTCACACTCTTTTTTTGGTTAATTTAAACAGGGAACTTGAGTGGTCAATTTTTCCTCTTGCTTGTAAGGTTAACTATAGGCCAGAACTGTTTGTTTCTTTAATATTGACTTTGACTGCTGTTGACATTTTTTAAGGTCTATTTCTTTTAATAGTACATAGTTTAAGGAGAAAAATCAAGACTAATTAGTTGTTAATGAGAAACGTGTATAATGAGAAACAAATGTAACATTAATGTCATGTACAATGTATGTCTGTGTGGTTTAAGAGGTAGGAACACAACCATTATTCAAAATTAAGGAATAAAATCATCGTAATAATTACTAGCAGATGTGTTGTAACTTGTATTGCAAGTCAAAGTTTCTTTGTCAGAACAACGTGGTGTAATATTTGATAGTATGCAGTTGATATGATTTTTGAAGGCTTTACATATTTTTTTTTACCATTTTTTAAAAATCCATCTGCCTGGCATCTTAGGAGATTGAAAGAGATTTAGGCTAATATTTTCTTTTCCTTGCAACGTTATTATTCCCTTATCAGCACAGAGATATTTGTTGATACACTCTGACGTCAGATGGGGATGTGGCAGCCTCTTACTCGGCCAGGTTGCTGTTCTCTCATGGTCTAAGGAGCATCTTGTATGCTGCCCAAATACAAGTTTACAAATTGTATGTTTTCCACTGGAGACTGTTGAATTCCACTCAGTAGCTGGAATACAATGATCATATGACCTCCTGGATTCCTGGCATAGAGATGGACTCACTAGTTCTCAGCCTCATGTGCACAGATCCTGTACCACTGAGCAACATCTTGGGGTCAAGCAATAACAGAGTTCACTTCAGGGAACTCTGAATGGAGGCCACTCTGAAACATTGACCTTTTAGAATTACGGATGAGCAGGACTAAATGCCTGAGCTAAGGGTGTTGAGGATATGGGGTTGAGGGCAAGGAAGGGAAGACAGACAGTGAAACTTAATCCGAGCAGGTGTGAGGTTAAATACTTGGGCTGTTGAATGGTGTGAACCTTAGAAGATGACAGTGATAAAACCATTTTCTGCTCATCTGTGCATCCATCCATCCATTATTCAGCAAATATTTATCATATATATATGTGTTGGAGCAAAAGTTACAGCAAAGAGTAAAACATAGGAAGTTTCTTTTCTCATGAAACTTATGTTCTAGTGGTTAATAATATCTGACATTATTGAGGCTCACTATATTCTAAGCACTCTTCTAACTACATATAATATCTCATTTAATTCTTATAACAATCCTTGTAGATTGTTCTAATTAAAACAGTAATAAGAAACCTCTGTTTCAGATATGACATCACTGATGGTAAAAATGAAAATAACACATTCTTACAGAACACATACTTATACAAAAATATTTTTGATTATTTTCAACCAAATACACATTTAAACTACTGAGTTATTTAGATATCAGCATAAGTGTAAGAACACCTTTCTATCACACACACACACACACACACACACACACACACACACACACACACATATTTAAGTAAGAGGGAGAAAACCCTCTAATATGATATTGAAATTAACCCTGATAAAACAAATGTGTAGGGAAAAGCAATCATTGGAGTATGTGTGGGAGGGTGTTTTACATTTATGTTAGAGCCAGTTACTAATTTGTTCCTAGTAAAGGATACTTTTAAGTATGGATACATGCACCATTTGCGTCAGAATCAGCAGGAGTGCTTGCTAAAACTGCCAGTTTGGAGGCATCTCCCTAAGCACAGTGTACCAGAATGACCAGAGGCAAGTCTCAAGAATCTGCATTTCCCACCAAATCCCTAGGTGATTCTTAATCACACTAACGTTTGAGACCCACGGATGTAGAATGTTATTTCACAGTCTCATATCTCAGATGGTCTCTATTTGAAATTCTTGAAGAGTTATGTTGTCAGCTGGTGAACATCTGTCTAGAATTCTAATACAAGCAATAATAGCGCATAATAACATACAATATCCATTAATGTTGAACAGGGTGTCTGTTCCCTGGCATTATGAAACCTAGAATATTGCTTTTCTTTCTATGTGTGTTATGAACTAGTAGCATAAATCTCAATTTTTGTCTTACTGCATTTCTGATGGCTGTTCTTCCATTTATCATATTCAATGCTTTAGTTCCTTTGCTTCCTGCTATTTTATCATGTCCCTGATCTTCTCTCCAAACTAATTTTTAAAACTTATTTTGAAAATAATTGTTTTTTAGAAGGGTAAGGATAAGTAAATATGTTTTGTCTATGATCAGGCCAGGATCACTAAGTTATTAGATACATATTTTTTTCTTTTTATTGGTCAAGGTGAGAAGTTGAACTTCAGTAACAAACAATTCCAATATCTCAGTGGCTTAACATACACACAGAGTTTATTTTTCCTTTGTGCTACAAGTCTAACATGGGTGTGTGGGGCTTTGTTTTAAATAGCCTTGAAGGAATATAGGCTATAGGAGACTCTGCTTCCTATGAATGCACTGTCTGAAGCACATGGCCTCTTTGACTAGGGCAGGGATGGAGCCTCACACATAGGCTTTTAAATGTTTTGGGCAGGAAGAAGCACATACCATTTTTTCTCTTAGACCGTACTAATTGGTCATGGGTCTTTACCTAATAAAAAGGAGGCAGGAAAATGTGGGGAAGCACATGTATATTTGGTAGGCCGTTAACACTTGCCGTATTTTTGGTAACTTTGAATTTTTACTTCAGTCTCACACTGCTTGCTATGAACAAAGCAGATGTGGATTACTGTATTTCATTCACCCAGGAGGGAGGCAGAAAGAAGACACCTTTGTTAAAAGATATTGTTGCTTGTATCAGGTAGTCTGAAAACAAGTTTCTCTTAAGCCCACAAGTTAGGTGCTACAAAAAATACCAATAATGAGTAAGCTACAGACGGAGAAAAATCATGCAACAAAAGAGAAACAGAATATTTGACAAAAGAAGACCCAAGTGATAGTTTTTAATCCAACAAAAATTTTTGTTTTTAATACATGACAATTCTAAGAAAAGGGCATATTGGATAGGTACTACAAGAAACTTTGAAGACTTTTTTTTTGGTCCAAATTCTTTTTGTAAGTAATTTATTTGAAAATGTGCCAGGTGCTGTTGAGGGAGCAAAATTTCAGCAGTGAATTAAACAGGAAGTTCCTGCTCTCCTGGAACTCAGGTTGAAGAGGATAATAATGGCTAACTTGTATTCAGGCCTGCTATAAATACTCCTGTTACTACTTTATGTATGTTATTTCATTTAATCCTTACAACAATTTCATGAGGTGTTAGAATTGAAGAGGGACTGCTAAGATGAACTTTGAGGGCACAGACATCTTCCTCTGATGTTTTTATTCCTATGAACCAGTAGTAGGCTTAGAAATATTAGGTTGAGCTGTATGAAACGATCATTTTTATAGGTAAAATGATTAAATATTGGAATTTTTGTTCAATTTAATTTCAACAGTCAAAATTTTTGGAAATTATCAGAACCAAAATAGACATGCATCATCATCATCCATCATTACCATGTGAACAGTTAGTGAGTACTTCAGTGTATCAGGGATATTGCACTATGCATTTTGCATTTACTTTCTCATTCAGAATACCCTCTCCATCTCAAGGTCCTTAACTTAATCACATCTGCAAAGTCCCTTTGCCATATGGGGTAACAGAGTCACATGTTCCAGAGATTAAGATGTGGACATCTTTGGCAGAGGGGTTGCTATTCTGCCTACCACACATTCTAATACGGTTCTATGCAGTAGGTACTATCAATATTCCTGTTTTGCGATGAGAGAGCACCGGATGAAGAGGTCTGTTTCACTGGCCAAGGTCTTACTGCTGGACAGTGATGGGGCTTGGATGTGGACAAAGCTATCTTACTTAAGAAATTGTACCCTACCTATTAAACTAAGGCAACAAACATTATGTTCTAGATGTTCTACAGTGCTTACATATCCAATAAAACAACTCAATCCAGCAAGTCAATGCACTTTTTCTGGTAGAACCAAAGGAAGAAGGTCATTCTACTTACAGGTATTTTTTCTGGATCATTTTTTTTTTCTTTTGTGCTTTGGAGTGTGGCATTTAAAGACATTTGGAGATTTTCTTTGACGCTTATTTGACCCTTATAGTTATTCTTTTTTTTTTTTTTTCGAGATTGAGTCTCACTCTGTCACCCAGGCTGGAGTGCAGTGGTGTGGTCTTGGCTCACTGCACGCTCCACCTCCCGGGTTCACGCCATTCTCCTGCCTCAGCCTCCTGAGTAGCTGGGACTACAGGCACCTGCCACCATGCCCGGCTAATTTTTGTAGTTTTAGTAGAGACAGGGTTTCACTGTGTTAGCCAGGATGGTCTCGATCTCCTGACCTTGTGATCCGCCTGCCTGGGCCCCCCAAAGTGCTGGGATTACAGGCGTGAGCCACCGCGCCCGCCTATAGTTATTCTTTAGGCCCACCTTTATAAAAATCTTTATGCCCTTCTGCCCAGCTGAGAACACCAGTCAGGCTCATTAATTTCAGAAACAATATGAACTCTGTCCCTTTCTCCTATTCAAATCGAGTACTTCTATTAATTTTTTGTTTATTTTGAGACGGAGTGTCACTTTGTCACCCACACTGAAGTGCAGTGGGAAGATCTCAGCTCACTGCAACCTCCACTTCCCAGGCTGAAGCGATACTCCCATCTTAACCTCCCAAGTAGCTGGGACCACAGGCGCATGCCACCACACCTGGCTAATTTTTTGTATTTTTGGTGGGGGTGGGGTTTTGCCATGTTGCCTAGGTTGGTCTCGAACTCCTGAGCTCAGGTGATCCACCTGCTTTGGCCTCCCAAAGTGCTGGGGTTACAGGCATGAGCCACTGCGCCCAGCCAAATGGAGTATTTTATATCAAACATACATGTAAATATGTATCCCTATCTCACATATTATAATGTAGATGTGTGTATATATATGTCTGTATACTAATATATAAAACTCACACACGCAAACACACATTTCAATCTCTAGTAATAATTGTTAGTTAAGTTAAAACAGAATATATGCTCCTTAGGCATTAACCTGAAGGTCCTATATTAAAATGATTTTGCAGGGATAAGAAAGAGCATAGTAAAATTTAGTTTAAAATAGAAAAGCAGATAACTGAATTTAATGTTTTTAAGTTTCAGCCTTGGGAAAGAAGAATATTATTATGTTTTTAAGTTTCTGCCTTGGGAAAGAAGAATATTATTGCTTTGAATGCCTGAGATGCTAATGAAAAAACCCAGGGAGCCATGTGAATTAGCAAAGAGATGGTTTCTTACCTTTCTGTACTTAGGTAGTTGGCAAATAGTTGATGCTTAAAAATACTGATGAATGAATCAACTAATGAATATACATGAAAACTGAAGGTTTTTTTTTTTTCTGAGATGGGGTTTTCTCTTGTTGCCCAGGCTGGAGTGGAATAGTGTGATCTCCACTCACTGCAACCTCTACCTACCAGGTTCAAGCAATTCTCCTGCCTCAGCCTCCCGAGTAGCTGGGATTACAGGTGCCCACCAGCACACCTGGCTAATTTTTGTATTTTTAGTAGAAACGGGGTTTTACCATGTTGGTCAGGCTGGTCTCGAACTCCTGACCTCAGGTGATCTGCCCGCCTCGGCTTCCCAAAGTGCTGGGATTACAGGCGTAAGCCACTATGCCCGGCTGACCATTGAGTCTTAAACGTGTTGAAATACATTTAGATGGAATCAGATTAATATTTTAGATGGAAAACTTGGCAGAAGTGAAAATAAACAATAATAAAAAGCAACTCAAATAGGGAGAATAGTAAAGTCATCATTAACTTGGGTGAGAGGTGATAATAACCTAAACCAAGGCAATATTAGTGGACACAGAAATAAAAGAGACCAATTCAAATGATACGCAGGACATGGTAATCCATTAACCCATTTATGCCTGAGGTTGCAATTTTTTGAATTTTGAAATCAGGCCTTGGTGATGACCTTGAGCAGTAACTCCCACATGCTTAGCGTTCCAATAATGGAATACTAGGCATAAATGGGTTTTAATGTGGGTGATGGGGAAGAAAGAAAGACAATGATGATCCAAAGGTTTCTAGCTCATAGAGTATGTAGAAATTCTGGTAATTAAAATAGAGAGCATAGGGTAGAGAGTATTTTAACTGAAGAGTACAGCTTTTGAATCAGAATGTTAGAGCAGACCAAACAGGTGCTGAGGCAATCGAATGGGGGAAGTTATCATCAGAAAACAAAAATTTAAGAAGCAGACATTTAGTTAATATGTAATCAGAAACAATCAGGAGTAGAAACAAATGAAACATTAAATAATTTGTTCTATAGAGCATCTACCAAATTTTTGAAACTAATTTCCTGGGAATGAGATAGGTAGGTTTCATTTAAAATGGTTTCAAGTAAATTGAAGATGGTTGAAGGGTAGAATGAATGAAGACCCTGATATGTTGAATATTTCTTTCTTTTTTTTCTAGACGTACAACAGGTGTCTGGATATGATTCCCATACATTTGTTTGCAGATATGGCAAGTTTCCTTAACCCAGGAAACCTGAACACTTCAAAGCACAGAGGAAGCATTTCATCCAGGGCTTATTGTTTCTCTCTAATTAGGGTGTTCAAATTGGTGTCTGGCCTGATACTCCAGGACTTCTCTCCTATTTCAGCCTTCTTAAAAATAACTAGAAACAGTATTATCTCTAAAAGCTTAACAATGATCCAACAATTCTTTCTAACAACTGAAACCCTCTACTTTTTCTTAGAGTGTTCAGGAGAAAAATAAACCCTTTGGGACAAAAGAAAGTGAAAGTAATACTTCATTTTAATGTTTAATGCTATTTCTCCTACAGGTCATCAAAATTAAGTTAAAGCAATAGATTTTAGAGAGTACAAACAGAAGTTCTAGATTCAGAATTGATTTATTTTGTTTTATTGCCATTTAACTATTTAACTTTTTTTAAAAGTGGAGATGATAAAAATAACTCTGAAAGAATATAGCATAAACCTTAGCATTTATTCAAAAAAGTGTGTGGCTAGAAATTATACATATATGGACATGATTGATATATTTCATTTTTATCATAGAAATATAGCAATCCATTTAATACATTTTAATCTAGTTATTTTGGATATGAAACATTGGAAATTAAATATTACTTAAATTCATATAAAGTCAGATCGTTGTTATATTGATAGTTATTTCATCTAATACTTTTTTCTTTGAATTAAAAAAATTCCAAAATAATATCCCACTGGTGCCAGATAAAAAATCTAGAGATATATAAAGGAAAAGATAATGATTTCCACATATGTGTCTATTTCTATCTCCCCTGAAATCAACTACATTAATAGTACAATGTGTGATATTCTGCATCTTTCTTCATGTCTATGCCAATGTATCAAACATGTATACACTTACTTAGGTTTTTAAATAAGAAAATCTTACTTTACATATTGTCATCACTTTGCTTTTTTCGTAGACTTCCAGATTAATAAAGTTAAAACATTCCCTTTAGTGGCTGGTTTATATTGCATGGAATGGACATACTACAGTATGTTTAATCATATTCCTATAGATGATATTCAAGCTGATTTCAGTTTTCTTTTAACACAAAAGTATCCTTGTACCTATATTCCTATGTTCTGATGCTCGCATTGTTGTCCAATATGTTTCCTAAAGTGGAATTTCTGCTTTTAAGAATATTTGAAATTTCACTTTTAATAGGTATTACTAGATTATTTTCTAAGAGCTTTTTAGCATTTTATATGGCCTCCATTGCATAGAAAGTACTAGTTTTTCTACATTCTTCGCAGCATGCATTAATATTTTTAACTTTGCCATTTTGACAGGTGGCATCACATGTTTTTTAAATTTTAATTTCCCGACTATTAGTGAGATTATACACCATTTCATTTGTTTGTTTATAGTTGGAATATGTGCTTCCTAAAATTGCCCACTTTTGTATTGGCTCTTTTTCATTTATCAGTTTGTACGACTGCTTTCTACTCTCTCAGGCTAGTAATAAGTTGTGCACATGTACCCTAGAAATTAAAGTATAATTATATATATATACACACACACATATATATACACACACACACACACATATATATATACACATATATATGTATATACATATATATATAAACTCAGGAAAAAAAAAGACTTGGCCAACTCTCACTCTTCTCTTACTTGTTGGGAAGAAGATTCTCTGGTCTGAGATTTTTTAGGGTCCAAAGTTAGTCCTCTCATCACAGAGACTGGGAGCAATTTAGTTTTGTCAAGCAGCTAGCTGTCTTCTAGGACAACTGGGGCCAGTGGGACTGTGCTGCTGGCCCAAGGACTCCACATAGCATGTGCCTAGGAGGAATTTTCTCTCACTGTTCAGTGGATGAATGGATTCTGTTGACTTTTGCTAACTGTACTCTGTAGAAAAGCCAACAAATTTGAGATCTCTGCCTTGGAGGAGAAGCTGTTCCTTTTCTTTGTAATTTTTCCCTTGACTGTCATCTGCCTTTTAGAAGGGAGTTTCGATCATGGTCTCCTTGGAGATGTGGATAGAAGTAGGGATCTCAGAGACATCCCCTAGTCTCTGCCAGTATGCTTGCAGTGGTTGTTGAATTACTCCAGAGGGACTGTAGAAGGCAAGTGTGACAAAGATATTTGCTGACACTACTTAGATTTTCTGTGTTCAGATTTTAAATTACAGATTTACTTGACTTATAAGGAGAAGTTTTTGAATTTGGGCTTTCAAAATTGTTGTTGAAATGCTTCTCACTTTGGAATTGTCTAACTAATAAAGTTGTGCAGCCAATATAGTGTAGCAATTAATAATTAGAATTTTGAAAAGAAAGAAATTTAAGATCCTAGTGATTTTGCTTGTTAACAGGGCGTCATTTCTTTATAGAATAAACATCATTATTCTTACATTGTAGGATCATTTTTGAAATTGGGAGTTAAATTTTAAGAAGTTATCTAAGATGCTTAGCAGAATGTCTGATGCATTGTAAAGACCTACTATATAAGAGCTTTAAAAGAATGTTTAAAATTAAACCTGTAAGTGAACATTAATATTAAATTAATTTTCTGGTTCTGGTAAGTCTAACTACTGTGATTTCCCTTTACTTAGCAGTTTTCACCATTGCTATTCTAACAAACATCTCTCCATGTAATTTCTTTACATGTATCAAGGTTTTTCAAGCAGTTTATTCTTTTTCCAACTCTGCAAAAGGGACAGGTTTCCCTTACAATTTTAGAGTTTTCACTTAAATTGCATTAAATATAAAATGCACATTTGCTATGGTCTCTGTGGTAATCAATATTTTACTTATTTGATTTTTTTGAGAGAATCCCAATCATAGTTTTTGAAACTATTTTTAATAGATTAAAATTGGTTTAATAAAAGTAATGTCAGTAACAGACAACTCACTGAATGGAACAATCATAAATGTTTTCCCTCTCCTTTCGTAAAGGTTTCAGGTAAACCTTGAGTTTAAAGTAAAGACTTAAGCAGCCTTAGGCTCTGCAAATAACAGCTCTAGCAACAAATCAAAGAATGATGTTTATGTTCTTCCATAGAAAGATCGTTACCAATTGATCTTTTCAGCAAAACCTACACACGCGAGTAGCTGTAGAATAATTGCAGTAGAATCAGTATACCTTTTGAAAGTGACCAACAATGTTATTTGATGCGATAAACCATTTGAAGGCATTCTATCTGGAACACATGGAAATATTGAACTTTATTTTGATTATGTATTGGTAAAAACTCATGTTTTTTTCTTGAAGTTTAATTATTGTGTTTAATTGTGTATTTCATGGTGAAATGTACCAGTAATGACTATCCATGATTCAAGTAAAAGGTAGTTGATCTTAGAGCTTTTAGACAAAAAGGCTTGCATTTACATCCATTCAATGAGCATTCTTTAAGCACTTCCTGTGCAATAGTTCCTGTGCTAGGTTCTGGGGATGCAATGATGGAAGACAGAAATGGTCATGGTCCTTGTGAAGTCACAGCTTAGTGGAGGCACCATGTGTTAAACAGATAGTTATAAGAGTAATAAATTACAGTTGTGGTAAATGCCATGAAGGGAAAGTATAGACAGAAGGAGAATCAGGGAGACCACTACATGGTTGCCTTAATATTCAGATCTCGCGCAATAGAATTCACTGTTATTAACGTATCACCACATTTTACAGTAGATGTCTTGAACTTATTCCTCCTTTCTAACTGAAATTTTGTGTCCTTTGACCAACGTCTCCCTGCTACAGCCCCCATCCCCTAGCGATCATCATCCTACTATTTGCTGCTATGAGTTCAACTCTTTTAGATTCCACATATAAGTGAGATCATGTGATATCTTTCTTTCTGTGTCTGTCGTATTTCACTTAGCTTAATGGCCTCCAGGTTCATCCATGTTGTTGCAAATGACAGGTTTTTCTTTTTTTAAGGCTGAATAGTAGTCCGTTGTATACATATACCACATTTTTGTTATCCATTCATCTGTTGATTAAGTTGATTCTATATCTTGATTATTGTGAATAATGCTGCAATGAGCTCAGGAGTGCAAATATCTATTCCAGATCCTGATTTCAATTCTTTTGGATAAATACCCAGAGGTAGAACTCTTTGATCACATGCTATTTTTTTTTATTTTTATGGAAACCCCATACTGTTTTCCATAATGGATATACTAATTTACACTTCCACAAAGTGTACAAATATTCCCTTTTCTCTACATACTTGTCAACACTTATCTTTTGTCTTTTTTATAATATCCATCCTGGTGTAAGGTGATAGCTCATTGTAGTTTTTATTCACATTTCCCTGATGATTAGTGATGTGTTGAATGTTTTCATGTACTTGTTGACTGTTTGGATGTCTTTAGAGAAAGGGCTGCTCAGGTTTGTTTTTTTTTTCCCATTCTAAAAATCAGGTTATTTGTTTTCTTGCTATTGAGTTATTTGAGTTCGTTATATTTTTTGTATATGAGCTCCTTATCAGATGCATGATTTGCAAATATTTTGTCACATTCTGTAGATTGTCTTTTCTTCTGTTGGCCACTTCTTTTGCCATGCAGAAGCTTTTTAATTTGATGCGATTTCATTTGTCTATTTTTTTCAATATTGCGAAGTTCCAGATGTGTTATTTGTAACTGGACAAGGGAAGGAGAGAGGATGTGAAGGGAACTAATGTTTATTGATTCTTTACTATGTGTCATGTACTTTAAATACTCTAATTTAATTTGAATAACAGCTTCAAGAGAGAGACATCCTTATTACCATTTACACACGAAAAAACTGTGGTGCAGGGAAGTCAGGTTAGCTCTCCCTGCTCTCTCAGCAGCTGTGCGGAGCTGAGCTCAGACCCCTCTGACCTCACTACTTCCAGTTTCTTTAGCCCTTCTGCTAGATTCTTTACATTCACTAATAGCCTTCCTTTGCCTTAGGCCAACACACTTCACGGATATTTTCTGTAAAACTGTTACAGAATATCATAACAAAGTCAGAGTTCCTTCTCTTCACTTGAGACTCTCGAAGCAAATAGAAAATGAGACATAATTTGGATTTCCTAAGGGAAAAAATTAACACCCATGAATACTTGAAATAGTTTCACTTGAAAACAATCTAGAGATGGTCAGTAAAACTAATCTTGTAAAAATGGAGTAATGCAGAAAGTATTGTTGCCTTGGTGGTTACCAGAGAAAGTGGTCAATTCTATAAGTACTTCTTTAGCTATTTACTTTTATGCAACATAAGATCTTTAAATTAGAATCTACGAAATCTGGCTTTTAAAAAATATTAAATTAAATGCAAAAATGTCTCACAGTCATGCAGGCATGTGAGGCTGTACAATTTTTTTATATACATATGTGTATATATATGCGTAAGCTTGTGATTCATGTAGTATCCTCTATGAATGTAAAAATGATCCACAAAGTAGAGAAGACTGACACAAATACACAAATACCGGAAAGGAGAAGAAAACTGCTTTCAGGTGCAGAGTATTGAATGCATAATTCAACAGTTAGAAAGAATAAATTTATGGCCAGCTGATCAGTTAACATTATTTGTGGCTTCCTGTGGTTACATGATATAGCTAATTCCATTCTCTTTCATGAGCCACAAACAACATTCATTTGCCAATATGAGAACTAAGCTGACCCACTCAGTAAATGGGTCTAAAAACCAACTAATAAAAGTGGAAGTTTGTGGATATTAGCCTATCGGTGTCAGTTTCAGGCTTCACACAAAACACCAAGCCTGCTTCCCAGAAATCTCTATTCCATTGATATTCATTTGGTATTGGACATTAGTTATTTACTTATAAAATACGTGTTCATTACAAAGGTCTGTTAGTGCAGTTACATTAATTATTCATCCTGAGATTCTGAAGTACGTTGGAGGTTCCGAAAGGTAATTTCTAGCTACTGATGGGAAATGTTCCACATGAGAGCCCATCAGCAAGATTTCAGGAAATAGTTCATGGATTTGGAAGGTAGGAACAAATCGGTACTTTTATCATTTCCCTTAAAGTTTTCTACCATTTAGAAAGATAAAATAAGATAATTAGAAACGATACTTTTTTCCCCTGAAAAGTCAATATGTTACAAATATGTCAGAAGTGCGTAAAGTTGTAACTTAATTAACCCTCCCCCCCACATTTCCTTAGTATAGACTAAGAATTGCAATATCATAAGATTATAGAAGTTAGATTTGGTTTCACTATTTTTACTGCTTTAACGGGATAAATGTATGTGACACTTTATGTATAGCTATATGAATGTAGAGACCTAGACATAAAGGCAGAAGAATTAAAAATTTGTTAATTCATTTAAAAATGCTTCATTTTTTAAATGTTTCGGATTGTTTTCCATGGTATTTGTTTAAATACTAAGTTCTCAATGCCCTAAAATGATTTCATTTTAATTTTTTAATTTATTTTATTTTATTTTTTGTGGACAAATTTAGTTTTAACTACTCTAAAACATAGTCATCGATTTTATACGTATTATGTATAACATATAACATACATATGTACATAATACATATATATGTTACACAAAGCATAACTATATCTCATTGTTAAAAATTCAAACCACAGAGAACTCTGGTCAGCAAATTATGGAAATCTCCTTTTATTATTTCTTCCTACCACCTCCATTTCCCTCTTGAGAGGTAACATAGCAATTTTATGAATATCTCTTCTATCCCTTTTCTCTTCATTTACATACAAATACATGCATACATACACATGAACACATATATACACACGTACACATATATATACACATATATACATATATATTTCTTATTTTTTGCAAAAATGGGATGTGTTTTTAAGAATTAAATTTATTAGACATATTAGGATAAGTAATCTCACACATGAAGAAATAATTATTTTTATAATTATTAACTCACTGTTTTCTTTTGGGTTCAATTACCTCGTGTCTTTCATCAGTGGTAAATATTGTAGTCTTTTGTTCCATGGTATCAAATGCAAAGTGCTTGGAATACATTACTGGTTTAAATTTTTTTTTAATTAATCCTGAAGATTATGTTTGCATTTTCTGATTAGATAATCTGCAAAGGCAGAGTATAAGAGTAGAATAACTACGTAAATATGTACTATTTGATCTTGGAATGAGAAGAAAGAAGGATATATGACAAGGAGTCTCTGACTTCCTTGGGAAACTTAGTGAACAAAAATGAATCTTGGTGTTTTAAAAGAGTTAGTGCCCTTTTGTTAAAAATATGAAGATGCTACCTTACTTGTAAGGGGAAATAGAGGGGAAAAAGTAGATGTTAACAAGTTTAATATGTATTATTTTCCAGAATATATTTAAAATATTTCATCTTATTGTAAACCATTTCTCCTTTTAAAATTTAAAAATGATTTATGCACATAGATAAAATAATTAAGAAATATAGAATGCTACCAAATATCAAGTAATTTTCTGACCCTGGTCCTAGGCCCATTTTCAATTCCACTCCAAGAAGTACTTTTTAAAGTGTTTCTTTATCCTCTCAACCCCAAGAGTCCAGAAGCTAATTATTTTTATCTTATACAAATGGAATTTTATGAAAACCAACAGAAATAGATTTTTTTATTCTCCAACAAGAGGAACTTGTGATATCAAGATATTTGAGCCCTCAGTCATAGGTTGGGATTGTCTGAATGCCTCTGGGGTTCTGATTCCCAAAGCTGGGGATATTCCCATGATAATTTATGCAGACAAGAAAGGGTTATCCACATCTTACTGTTCCTATGTCCCTCTGGCAATGTCTGTGATTAAGAAGGAGAGGCGAAATGTACATTCAATAAATATTTATTGAGCATTTACTATATGAAGGCATGTTCTAGGTTTTGGGAATGCAAACATGAGCTAAACAAAGTACTTGTCCTCATAGAGCTTACATTTTAATAGGGCATATTGGCAATCAACAGGAACAAATACGTAATATAAGGTGAAGTAGTGATAAGTTCTATAAATATATAATGCATAAAAGGATGTATTTTGGATAGGATGTCAGGGAAGGCCTTTAAGAGAAATACACATTTCAATAGAAACTAGAATGAAACCACGAAGTGAGGCATCAGAATGAAAAGCACTCCAGGCAGAGGGAATGACGGGTGCAAAGGTCCTGTGGCAGAAGCAGTGATTTTGGAGAACTGCAAAAAGGCAAGCCTCCTAGAATGCACAGACTATAGGGGAGAGTAATAGGACTTCAAGTAAGAGACTAGAAATGTAGCCAGGGAATACATCAAGTAGGGTTTAGAGATCATGGGAAGAAGGACTTTTGATTTATTCTGTATAATCGGGAGCCATTGGAGGGTTTTGGGCAGGATATTGGCATCGTGTATTTTACATTTAAAAATGTAAAAGCAATTGGTCTAGCTGCAGTGTGTCTGTTTATGGACTGTGGTTGGATATTTTAGCATAGGATGCACACTACAGAGGGTAAATACAGACTTTAGAAATGTAGACAAATATCACTCTCATGCGGGAGCTATTCTATGTGAAACCCTTCTTTGTAAGTTTCTTCAGGCATAAGACGCTTTTTTTTTCAGATATTTCTAAAGTTCATCAAGGAGGAGGAGGAGGAGAAGGGGACACAAAGGGCAGGCTGGGAGAATAGCAAAACACATCCTAGAACGCAAGCACACTCCTAACATTTACAGGGCCAGAGGCAAGAGTTTAAACAAAGGACCATATACAACATTTCTAAATATTTAAAAGTTATTAATCAAGTTAAAAATGCATTCTGTACTTATGCCTTGACAATTACACTTGGAAGATAAAGTGTAAATTTAGGATCCTCAAACTTGTTGAAGTTCTGTGAACAAACATAGCTATATAAGAAGAGCCAGCTCTTACCCTGTCCCTGGCCCAAGGCCTCTTTTCTTTTACTACCAATGGCCGAATGCCTGAAATTCATATGTGTGAACAATCTTTCTCTATGTTCAAACTCCATCCCTACCCTCTACAGACACCTGTTCCTTGGTGACCACCCAGGCAAGGGTATGCACATGGCAGGCGCGGTGTGGTGTTCACGAGAGTGCACTACTCAGGTAGTCTTTCAAGAAGGACTGTGGTCTCAGTGCTAGGAGTGTTGTTGGCATACGACCTTCAGATCATCCTTTTGGAGATACTTTAGCTTCAGAGAGCTGACTTGCTTAAGTCATACCCTTACAGACAATGCATATATAAGGACTTTTGGAGGAAGGTCTTCAAAAGGCCAGACATTTGAGCCCAGCATGAGACAACTCTGACTAAGAGTTGTCAGTTTAGATCCAGGCTAAGTCTCTCTAATTGCAGTTAAGGGAAGAGTAGTAAAAGTCATAATGAACCACTTCTGAACTGACAGAGGATAAAGATGAACAGTAAAAGCTCTTGATCAGATAAACTAGCCCCACCTCCAAAGACCTCAAAACTTGACTTGAGGGGCCAGAGTTTGTAAATGTGCTGTACTATGTGCTATGGAAACCAGTTAAGAGATAACATGGTGTTTCTCTGTGACTACCACAAGGCCCCCATTCTGGGAAATATTATATGATGAATGGGCAGGTACAGTGTTTTAGAACAATTGTGAGGTATATTTTGTTATGTTTGTCTTCTAAATAGCAAAGAGGTTTTTTTTTTTTTTTGGTTAAATTAAATGTGAAAAAAAATTTTAAAGTTACTTCATCCAGTTAAAGGTTTTTGTTTGTTTTGTTTTGTTTTGTTTTGTTTGAGATGGAGTCTCCTTCTATCGCCCAGGCTGGAGTGCAGTGGCATGGTCTTGGCTCATTGCAACCTCCACCTCCTGGGTTCAGGCGATTCTCCTGCCTCAGCCTCCCCGAGTAGCTGGGACTACAGGTGCGCACCACCATGCCCAGCTAGTTTATTTTTGTATTTTTAGTAGAGACAAGGTTTCACCATGTTGGCCAGGCTAGTCTCGAACTCTTGATTTCAGGTGATCCACCTGCCTCGGCCTCTCAAACTGCTGGGATTACAGGCATGAACCACCATTGCCTGGCTGTTAAAGGTTCTTTATCTGAATATTATTCAGTTCAGCAAGTCCCTTTAGTATATACTGACTTCTTACCCTTGAAACAGAATAACTAGAACTTTGCTGTAAGATGCTATGCATTATTTAAATTAAGTTGGTAGATGTATTGATTTTGCACAATAACCATTTGGAATATATAATTTTAAAAAGACCATTTACAATAGCAGTAAAAATATAAAGTATCTAGAAAAATATTGCCAATGATTTATAAGCTCTTTGGGAGGAAAATTATACATTTTACTGACAGATATGAGAATAACTAAATAAATGCAGAGTGGTCTTATAGTTATACGTAGAAAACAGTTGTGAAATTGTCAATTCTCCTCAAAATAATTTTCAGATTCAATCAGTTCCAATAAAATTCCAAATTTCTTTTCTCTTAGGAACTTAAAACAATCTATTGTAATATGTTTACAAAAGAGCAAGAGGATAAAATCAGCCAAAGCATGCCAGAAGAATAGACACAGTGAGGTAGTAGAAGGGAGACTTTTTGTTTTTGCCACATTCCAAAACTTATTATAAATGCATAGTAATTAAAATGTAGTAAAGGCAGAGTTATAGGCAGATCAACAGGAACAGAATAGCAATGACAGAAAGATGCATGCTTAAATGGAAATTTGATTAATAACAGGATAGGCATTGCCTATTAGTTGGAAAAGATAGACTCTTTAATAAATGGTGCCTCTGTGATTGGTTATCAATACAGAAAAAAAAAAACAAACCAAAAACCTTTTATTCCTACATCACCTCACAGACAAAAACCAGTTTTTAGATAGAAAGGAATAAGGCCAGGTGCAGTGGCTCATGCCTGTAATCCCAGCACTTTGGGAGGCTGAGGCGGGTGGATCACTAGTTTTCAGAATATATGAGAATCAAAAAGAAAAAGATTATCAAATAGAAACACTGACAAGACACATAGGTTTGAGATCAGCCTGGCCAACATGGTGAAACCCCATCTCTACTAAAAATACAAAAATTAGCTGCGCATAATGGTGCGTGCCTCTAATCCCAGCTTCTTGGGAGGCTGAGGCAGGACAATCACTTGAACGCAGGAGGCGGAGGTTACAGTGAGCCAAAATCGCGCCACTGCACTCCAGCCTGGGCGACAGAGCGAGACTCTGTTTCCAAAAAAAAAAAAAAAAAAAAAAAAAAAGATAGAAAAAAATAAAAATCAAAACATTGAAGCAAAGTCAGCATAGAAAATAGTTTTTGAAATCAAGACATAAAAGAACAACCTATAAGTAAAATAATTGCTATAGCTAATCAACTATATTAAATGAAATTCTTTCCTCATCAAAACACTTGAGAGACAGCCAGAAGATAAGCCACAAATTGTAAGAAGGTATTTGAAACATCAGTAACGGACAAAGTTAGTTTTTAGAATATATGAGAATCAAAAAGAAAAAGATAATCAAATAGAAACATTGACAAGACATATAGGTATTTCACAGGGACAAAAAGATAATTAAATGGCAAAACTATGGGATACATTACAATCTCATTAAAATCAAGGAAAGTCAAAGTAAAATCAGAATGAGATGCCACTTTACAACTCTATATAAGCAAAAAATTAAAGTTGAAAAATATTGTTTTGAAGCGGATGTGTAGTTCTAAGAACTTTCATACAGTGCTGAAGTGCATATAAATTAGCAAACCACTTTAGAAAAGAGCATTACTAATAAAAGTGAGTATGTGCATATCCTATGACTCAGAAATTCCACCTGTAGGTATACACCATGCAGTCATGGAGGAGAGCTTACACATGAGCATGAGGAGAAATGTACAGGAATATTCAGAACACTGTCATCTGTAATAGCCAAACAGCCACAGTAGCAACAACAATGATGACAACAACAAAACAACAAGACACAACCCACCCTCTATTAGAGTAGAATGCATACATAAATTGGAGTCTATTCATGTAATGGAATACTCTAATGCAGTGAAAAACAAATTATCTGTAGCCTGCATGTATCAGCATGAATGAATCTCAAAAATATGTTGATTAAAGAAAGGAAGTCACAGGAGAACATTTACTATGTGATATAAAAAAATGGGCAAACCTGAAATAATGTATTTTAAAGATACATAGATACGTGATAAAACTATAGATACAAAGCCAGGAAACACTTGACATAAATAGAGGATAGTGAACAGTTCTGAGAAAGAAGGGTGTGATCGGGGCATATCATAGATGCAGTGGTATGTGTAGATGATGGTAATATTTGAATTCTTAAGTTGGGTGGTAGGTGAATGAATTTTCATTTTATTCTTAGTCACTAAACGATACATATACGTTGCATACATTCCTTTTATCTATGTATTTTATAGTTACACCAGGAATATTGGATGTAGGAAATTCAGTGATGATAGGGTGGCTCGATTACACTCCAGAACATAAGTAAGTTCTATCTTTATACTTCATCATTCTTAGGGCATGGCTTTTGCTGCCAAGGTCTCCTTCTCTCCAAGATGTCTGCTGAATCTGCAAACTCTACCTTCTAAGCAGAGAGAAGAAAGAAAAGGAGAAGGACAAAAATGTTCTTTACAATTTAGCTAGCTGCTTTTAAAAAGCTTCCTTTTAAGCCTCACCTAATGGCTTCTGTTTACATATCATTGTCCCTCCAAATATACATGAGTGTGAATCATTTTAGCTACAACATTGACATCTTCAATACAATAAGATTCCCATTAAGAAAGAAGAGGAGAAAATGGATAGTGGATCAGTATCTTGTGGTGTTTGCCACAATCTTTTAAGTAGTTCCTTTAAAGAGGTTCAAGTGAAGTTAACTTTTTGACTCTTTGCGTGTCTGAAAATTCCTTCACTTTATTTTTATAGTTGCTTAATTAGTGATGTAAAGAACTTTAGGTTCAGAGATCATGTCCTCTGCAGGAACATGGATGGAGCTGGAGGCCATTATCCTTAGCAAACTAACGCAGGAATGGAAAACCAAATACAGCATGTTCTCACTTATAAGTGGGAGCTAAATGATGAGAATACATGGACACATATAGGGGAACAACACACAATGGGGCCTATTGGAGGGTGGAGGACGGGAGGAGGGCAAGGATCAGGAAAAACAACTAATGGGTACTAGGCTTAATACCTGGGTGATGAAATTACCTGTACAACAAACCCCCATGACACAAGCTTACCTATATAACAAACCTGCACATGTACCCCTGAACTTAAAATAAAAGATAAAAAAAGAATTTTAAGTTCAAAACATTTTTCCCCTCAGAATCTTAAAATAATTATTTCACTTCGTTCCCCCTCAGAATCTTAAAAGCATTCAGAATCAAAAAGTAATACAATGAAGCTCCAATATTGGTTTTATTTTAGGTAATTTTTTTGTCTTTTTCTCTGAAACACTATAAATATTTTTCTTAAAAGTTTTGTAATTTGTTTAACATATTCTTGAATAAGGTTTTTACATTTTATTTATTTAAACATTTAAAATTTCAGCCTGCCAGGGTTTATCGGACTGAAGATTCTTTTCTTTCTTCAGCTCATATATTTTCTTGAGATTATCTTTATCTTATTTTGTCCGTTTGTTTGATTGGTGTTCTCTCTTTTGAGTTCCTTTATCTTATGAGTTTCTGCTTTTTTCTTTTGGGTTCTTATATGATAGACGTAGGAATTTATGCTTTTCTTTTCTATATCTCAACTTTTTGCTCACATTTTTAATCTTTGCTTTTTTGTTCTATATTCAAGAACTTTCTCTGAGTTTTTCTTCCATATCATTCCTTTATGTATCAGTGTAATCTATTACTTAACTCCTTCATTCATTTATCAATGTTATTGATTACTTAACTCTTTTATTCAATTTCTTTTTTGATTAATATTTTTGTTCTTTTCAAAATACAAATTAATTTTATTTTTTAATTTACAAGGTTTTTTTTTAAAATTTGTTCTTGGATTGCTTCTTTCCCCCACAGTAGCTTATTCTTCCTTTATGGATACATACAATAGCCCCTCAAATCCTCTGATAATATCAATTTACCATTTTTGTTATGTATCCTCTTTTCTAGAGTTACTGCTGTTCTCCTGGGGTCATTTTTCCCTGTTCAACTTTATCCCTCTCTTTTTTGGTATTGGTTTTCCTGAAATAGCAGAGTTTTAGCTTGTTCATTCATATTTAGGAATGAAAGATTAGGTAAATTAATGTAAAATCAGTTGTAATATAACAGAAGGGTAAACCTAGTAAGATTATGCTTAATTTTACTGATTTTAATAGGCAGGAAATTATGAATGTTTTGTTTCTTCTGTTAAGTACATGCCTGTTTATACAACATTATAGGTACTTGTTTTGATCTGTAATCGGGAAAGAGGGAATAAAAACTAGTGAGTGAACCATACAATTCTGGGGAAAAAAATGGAGCTACAGCAGGAATATAATGAAGAATTTAGGAGAGATTAGAATAACTAAGTAGGTAGACAAGGAACTCAGTTCAGTAGCTACAGATGTCCAATAAACATTAACACAATTAAAAGAGGGTCCAACATTTCATTCCAAGAATGATAAATCCACTAAATTTTTTTTGAAAACAAAGCAACTGTACCTCATGAAATCTAGGATACATTTGAGTATAAGATGTACTGTTATTTTTCGGCCGGGCCTGGTGGCTCAGGCCTGTAATCCCAGCACTTTGGGAGGCCAAGGTGGGGGGATCATGAGGTCAAGAGTTTGAGACTAGCCTGGCCAATATGGTGAAACCCCATCTCTACTAAAAATACAAAAAAAAAAAAAAAAAAATAGCCGGGCATGGTGGTGCATGCCTGTAGTCCCAGCTACTGGGGAGGCTGAGGCAAAAGAATTGCTTGAACCCGGGAGGCGGAGGTTGCAGTGAGCCAAGATTGCACCACTGCACTCCAGCCTGGGTGACAGTGCGAGACTCCGTCTCAAAAAAGAAAAAAAAAAAAGATGTATCATTATTTTTCATACCACCAAGAAAAAAATTCACTGCCAGTTATACCCTAGCACATTTTTTATAGCTCAGAATATTTAGATTTGGTTAGACACAAAACATTATTTTTGTGCATGCATAAAAAGGAAAATGTAAGCAAAATAAATTAAGATATAATTAAAACTTCTTCCCATTCTGAGTCTAAGTCTTCTGAACCACTTGACTCAAAGTCATCAGCATCTGTGATTTTCTATACAATTTGGCCCTTTTTACTATTAAGAACATTGGTGATGCAGCCTTTCTAGGAGTGTGCTGCACTAATTATCTCCGAGATTTGCTTCTAAGCCACTGATATCTCTTCAACAGGTTTTGATATTGACACCTTGTTTATGTGTTCTTCACAGCAGGTATCAATAGGAAGTTTTCAGTCAACCACAAGGTCTCATAATCCTTCCTGGAACTATTCTTGAATAGTTTGCCGTCTGAAATGTTGAGAGCTTGCCCCTTGGATAACATGCCCCTTGGATAACAACCAAGTCAGTTCATGAGCAAGCAGTGGCAAACACTGTGTCCCACCAGCTCCTGACTGACTGAGACTACACGATACCATTCATCATTAAGATGTACCTGGATTTCAAGCATGTTACTGTGAAAAATAAAATGGAGTCTTAGAAATGATGATATAAGTAGAATTTATTTTTTGTCTCTGAAAGACGAAACTCCTAATTTTTATAACCCCTACTATTTATAATAAAATACTGAAAAGAAATAGTTATTTTTAATCACACCAATAGGCCAAATCAATAGATCATAATTATAGGAAAATTGGTCAGATATAGCTGGCTATTTGATTCATAAAGAACGCCTTATTTCTGAGAAAGGAAAAATATCTCATAACTAAAATTAATATGAATGACTATGTGTAAAGGTTTTGAGATGGAAAACATCCAACATTGTGAGGAAAAGGAGTTCAACTAAGTGATCAATAACTTCAGTATGAATGCTTAGATTGTGGAATCAAGTATTATGTTCCCCCCAAGTGTTAACTGTTGAAAACCTAGGTCTACAACTTTGGCTTGAATAAATTGGTATTTTTATCCTTTTGGGTTTAAAAATTACTGAAACCCTAGGAATTAAAAAAAAAATAGGATTTTCATGGCCTTATCCAGTGGTAAATGCTACTGCCTGGTACTCCATCTGAGAAGAAGGAGAAGGGCTTGAGGGAAGAGATCACTGATTGGCTGGTCCATGCAAAGTCCTTTAAATTTATTTCCCTAATTACAGCCCCATGGTGTTATGCTGTTCCCTATTCTTTTTCACTCCAAATTTGATACCTCCCTGGTACTCTGCCATTAAAATAGCTTTTGCCTCTCCTGCAGTCTTTTCCTATGGCTTTTCAGCATGTTCTATCTCATCCAGTTTTTGCTGCAAAATTGCTAAAATCCTCTGGTCTACTGATGGCTCCCCTTTCCAGTCTCAGTGCTATTTAACATCCAGTCCCTCCTGTTCATATTTCTGTTCTTTTAATGTGATTTTAGGAAAAAGGGACAGTGAATATGTACACAGTCTGCCATCTTGAACTAGAAAACTCCAAAATTGAAAAAGATGAATCAAATTGTACTTTCAAAGAAGTTAAGACTTTTTAAGTGTATGATTTAGATGTGCCTTAAATTTTATGATATAAGTGGTTTGTTGAATCTGCAGCTAGGTATTATATTTAGGTTATGCTCTCATGTCATACAGATATAGTGGGTGCATGCATCAATTTTCCAAAAAGATTTGGATTTACTCTTTAGGTAATCTAAATTTAGTTTGAGACATCCCAGTTGTGTATCTCAAATTTAGAAAAATTTAGAGTTCCTAAGGAACAGATTATGTTTTAATTATTGCATTTCAGAGTCACAAAATATTCAAAGTGATTTTTACCACTAGAATATGTTCCATAAGGAAATAAAATCTAAACTGAAGTACCATTCCTTCTGTTGCTAAGAGAAAAATGTTCTTAAAAGGCTTATCTAATAGATTTGGATTTACAGACTACTTTCTAAGCAGCTCACCTCACAGTCATCACTGACTTCCATAACTTAATATAAATAAAATCAGTTTCTTCATAGATTATGGCTGTAAGATTTATTGGTGACTAAAGCATGTAATCTCCATAAATTAGCCAGTTCTGGGTTAGATTCTTCAAGGCCAAAGAGCTCACGTGACATTTTTCATTTGGGTACAGAATGGCCATTTGGGCTTATAGGATCATTGAGTCTACATTTCTAGTAGTTGACACTGATCCATTCAAAGTCTATAAAATATAGGAGATGCCTCACACACCTTCAAAGTTTTAAAATAAATAATTCAGACACCTCTATAATTTTTTGCCTGCAGGCTCTCTGAAACTAAGTGAAGGCAACTTTGGTCAGTACTTAAATGGGAAACAGTCAAATAAAGAATGAAGCAAAGGATGACTAACGTATCAGTAATTTCTTTTCTCCCTATATTTTTACGATATTCATGGAATGATTTCTGGTGTGGGGTTAGTATTATTCTGCTGTTAAGAGGACTTTTTTAGGTAGGGGCATTTTTAGTTCATAAAGTAATAATGCAAAATAAAGCTGTTTGGGCACAAACTTATTTAACCTTTAAAGTTTGACTAAAATAACCTGCTAGGAATTAAAGGAAACATTTCTAAATGTTAGCAGAATGTCACATTTTTTTCCCAGAAATTCCATTTCAGCATATATATTTTTCATTTTCTCTTATTCTGTTCACAAGTCTCAGAGGAATAAGAAAGTAGATTAATGCATATTCCAAACATTTAAAATATAAAAGTACTATTTGTATGCACTGTTTACTTACATGTTTTTATATAGGTACAAATATAGTTCTTCAACAGTTGGGTAAGATTTTCATAAGTTGCAGAATGTAGTGTTTAGGTTGCTTCAAACTCTTTTTGCAGAGTTGTAGAGTATAAAGAAATAACTATGATAGTATTTGAGCTTTTATTTAGTAGGTCATTATAATAAAGAAAATAAGCTGTACATATGTGCTATGTGATCATAGATTGGAATAAAGCAACATTAGCTACTTCCATCTTGCGTTTTACATTGCCTGCATCTGATCACAGATGATAGAGAAATGACAGTGTTTCATTTTTCTTGCTGTTTTTTTTTCCTTTTTTTTTTTTGAGACAGCATTTCACTGTCACAGCTCACTGCAGCCTTGACCTCCTGGGCTCAATCTATCCTTCCACCTCAGCTTCCCGAGTAACTGGGAGTACAGGTGCACATGGCCACACCAGGCTAATTTTTGAATTATTATTATTATTTTGTAGAGATGGGGTCTCCTCATGTTGCCCAGCTGATCTTGAACTCCTGCGGTCAAGCAATCCGCCCGCCTTCACCTCCCAAAATTCTTGGATCACAGGCATATGCCAACACACCTGGCCTGTTGTTTTTTCAGTGTCATGTATCCAGTTATATTTTCAATGTTCCTTAATCTTATGTATAAATCTTATGGGAATAATATCATCAAATAAACATTTGGTGCCTTACAATGGATTGGTCTGGTGTGGTGGGCTAGCAGGAGTTCTCCACTCATTCTCATAGTTCCAATCATACGTTTAGTCCTCAATCCCATCTGCAAACCTGACATTTCTTTTGAGCTTCAAATTTCTAAGTCAAAATGCCTATTCAACTGTCTTAAAATCTGAGAGATGGTTCAAAATTCTGCTTGTTTTAGGACTCAGCTAACTAGAGGGATTTGGGAAATGCAGTCTACCGGCATGCTGAGGCAGAAGGGGCGCATGGATTCAGTGGATGGGAACCTGCCTTAGACACAGAGATCTACCTTCTATGACCTTAAGCCTGGTTACTCATTTCCCTTTGTTTTCTTACTTTTCAAAGTCAGAAGTCTTGGATAAATTATCAATTATTTCTGTTCTTTCTACCATTATTCTCAATTGGTTACCAAATCCCACCGATTCTATCTTTCTAATTGAGTTTCTCTCTGTTCCACCATTTCATTATTTCTTGTGTGATTGATTGCCTCATTCCTACCCTCTATCCACCCTGGGCTTTCTCCACACTGTTGAAACTGTTATATTACTCAAAAACATAATCTTACTTCACTTGTGTTAAGAAAAAAACCTCCTGGCTCACTGCAAGTGCAAAATTCAAACAACCGTAATTTGATATGCACTGCTCCTTGCAATCTGGATTTATCAGCTTCTACAGCTCACCTGTCACCTCCCACTTGTGCTCCAGTAACACTGAACTCTATTTATTTACCAAATATATTATGCCTTGTGTGCCTTTATGAGTGCTGTTTCTTCCGCCAGCAGTGCTTATCTCTTATTTCTTCCAAGTGGACAAATACCTACTTGTCCTTATACTTGGCTCAAATGTTGGCAAGGATTCTCCTATGTTCCTTTGTAGTTATTATATTTTTCATGCTTTTATGAATAACACTGATGATATCATTTGCCAGTTTGTATGTATGTACATTATGTTAGCACTTAGCACAGTACCTGGAACATTATAGATGCTCAGCAAAAGTTTATAAAATTAATAAATGACCTTAAATTGGTGTATTAGTCTTTTCTCACACTGCTGATAAAGACATACCCAAGACTGGGCAATTTATAAAGAAAAAGAGGTTTAATGGACTCACACAGTTCCACGTTCCTGAGGAGGCCTCACAATCATGGCGGAAGGTGAAAAAGGCACATCTTACATGGTGGCAGGCAAGAGAGAATGAAAACCAAGTGAAAGCGGAAAGCCCTTATAAAACCATCAGATCTCATGAGACTTATTCATTGCCATCAGAACAGCATGGGGGAAACTGCCCCCATGATTCAGTTATCTCCCACTGCATCCCTCCCACAACATACGGAAATTATGGGAGCTATAATTCAAGATGAGATTTGGGTGGGGGCACAGCCAAACCATATCAATTGGTATTGTCATTAACTCGTCATCATTAGTAGTACTTGTACAGCTATCCTAGGCCTTTATTTAAGACAGTTAGAGGTTTAAATAGAATTCTTACTTTTTAATTCTATTTCTTTACTTATTTCCCCTACACTCAATTTCTGATATAAGAGGCAACAATATTTAGTGCTAGAGTTTAACTGTGACCCACTCCCAAGTCACATGACCTCCTAGAAAGGGTGATTACTGAGAAGACCTGTGATTGAACCAATTGGGGGTCTGCCAGTAACCTTGGCCATGCTACACATTCCTGTGATTTAGGGCAGTAACAATCAATGTGGCCTCCAGTCATGTCTTTCTATGTACTGGAAATAGAAATGTGTTAAAAGGGGAATTTTTTAAAAATTTGAGGCATGATGATTAGGATTGACTTGTTTAGGCCACCTTGTCTCAGCTATTTGAAGCTTGCAAAGCCCTAGTTCTTTTTCTTCAAATAGGATCAAAAGGCACATGGGGACTCTATTCATACTTCTGAATGGAAACATACTTCTAGTTGGTGAGACCTTGTCTTTGAATATTCACTATTCAACAGCAATTTTAAAAGACTGTGAAGAATATCCTCTTCCTAAGAGCCACAGTTTTCTGCTTCCTATACTGGTCCTTGTTAAACCTCTGAATTCCTGGATCCTGGGCCCTGAATTTCTAGTTTTACTTTCCTGACTTTATTGACTTCCTAGGATTTTTAGATTTATATTATCTATCTAGTTTTTTGCTTTACTGGGCTTTATCCCAGGACTCTTATTTCCTGCTATTATGCAGATTTTCGAAATACCTGTAGTAACCTATCTGTAGTTACCTGTAAGTAACTCTGCTCTTCACTCCACTAAAATAGAGTGTCTCAAAAGGATATTTTAAGCTGATAAGATCCAAATATAAAGAAAGACGGAAATACATGGAATTGTCTGGGGCCAAGAAATACTTGATAATTTTTGCCAGTAAAGTAAGAGTTGCCATAGTTCCCTTGGCTTTAGGGCATTGGCTAGAACATAGAGTACTTGCCCCTAGAGATAAGGCAATTTATTTAAACTATGAAACATTATTTTATTAAAAGTGAATATACAAAATAACTCAGAAATACATGATCATATTTTGTCTGTGGAGTACAAGCATTTATTTGTCTGCTGATTACTTCTTTGGGGGAACTACCCATCCTTCATTCTTGGTCAGTATGCCCAAAAGCACTAAAGTAACCATGGCTCCAGGGGTGGGCATGTGATCCAAATTTTGCTAATTATTATTAGACATCCTTGGAGGGATCACTTGATTCAGAGGTGAGCATATTACTCAAGCTTGCCAAATCTAAGTCAGTTTTGAGAATTTAGCAAAAATTACTGGGAAAGAGGCATTTCCTTTCCATTTGAGTTACTGAACTGATAGAAAGTAACTGATAAACTCTTTGAGTTATTAATGGCCGTTCCTACCCTCTGCATCGGGAAGGCATATTTGACAATAAAGCTGATACAGAAGAAAACAGATTTAAGACGTGGAGAAACAGTGTTCTGATGAATTTATTAGAGCAAATTGATTCAACACCCAATTTAGTCATGTGAGGAAATGAGTTCTTTTTTGTTTTATGCTGGTTTGAGTTAGGTTTTTGTCCCCTGTAACTGAGGAAATGAGTTCTTTTTTGTTTTATGCTGGTTTGAGTTAGGTTTTTGTCCCCTGTAACTGAAAGGAGCTTGGCTAATTAAGTCAGGAATTTGCATATAGCTTTTAGATATAAATTAAATAGTTTTGTAATTGATATGCTTACTTTTCTTGTTGGAAATAGTGTAAGGCTTTACATCAATTTTTCTTGTTTTCCTTATATAATGTGACATCCTCCTGAGAAGACATCATCTTTCACTGGGTGCGGTGGCTCACTCCTGTAATCCCAGCACTTTGGGAGGCCGAGATGGGAGGATTGCTTAAGGTCAGGAGTCTGAGACGAGCCTGGCCAACATGGCAAAACTCCGTCTCTACTAAAAATACAAAAATTAGCCAGGCGTGGTGGTGGGCACCTGTAATCCCAGCTACTCGGGGGGCTGAGGAAGGAGAATTGCTTGAGCCTGGGAGGCGGAGGTTGCAGTGAGCTGAGATGGCGTCATTGCACTCCTGGGCGACAGAGGAAGACTCAGGCGTGGTGGCTCACACCTGTAATCCCAGCACTTTGGGAGGCTGAGGCAGGTGGATCATGAGGTCAAGAGATCGAGGCCATCCTGGCCAACATGGTGAAACCTTGTCTCCACTAAAAATACAAAAATTAGCTGTGCATGGTAGTGTGCACCTATAGTCCCAGCTACTTGGATGGATGAGGCAGGAGAGTCGCTTGAACCCAGGAGGCAGAGGTTGCAGTGTGCCAAGATTGTGCCACTGCACTCTAGCCTGGCGACAGAGCGAGACTCCATCTAAAAAAAAATAAATAAACGAAGACATCGTCTTTCCAACAATGCAGCTGGCTACATCTTGATTTTTAAAAATGTGGTAGTACCTAGAAAAATTGGAAAATACATTAATTACCTTGTTGTTACTCAGGCTCTGTAGATCATAAGCACTTATTTCTTAAATATTATGGAGAAATAACTTTTTTCTTTCTCCTTATTTTCTGTGATTGCAGTAGATAGTTAATGATTTTCTTAGAATGTTCCCAAACAGGAAACTTGTCTAAATCCATTTAAAGTTTCATGGGGCTTGATATAATATATAATCTAAATCAGCCAAATCTTTACTGAAGGATTTTCTGCTTTCTGTGTCGTGAGAATTTTCATCCCACTCTTTGACCCATCACTGAACTTGAGGTTGCACAAGGGCCATTTCTTAAGTGAGCTCTTGTCTTTTCAGATTTGTAAGTCTGCTTTTTGCATTTCTCTGTTGTCTTATGGAAATATGGACTTGTCTCTGAGTAAATTTCCAGAATGAAGGAGAGCTTGGAAAACATCTCATTATCACAAAAATACAGTTTCTTATAAGTTCTATTCCATATGTAAATGCCCACTCATTTGAGTTTCTTTTCAATGTTTGCCATTTTAGTTTGTATACATCTACATATTTGTATATAAATTATTCTATGCAATTGCACATTTTAGGAGAAACTATTATGGGGGTGGGAAACATTATGCTAAATAATTATCATTTTTACTATTTGAAAGAATGTTTTTCCTTTTCTATTTTAAAAACACTACCCTTTTTCAGCTTATGTAGCAGTGACATTGAAAGTTCTACAGTTCAGAATCCTGCAATTCAAATAACATTTTTTATTCTTGAATAATTAAAGTTCATTGTAATTGGAGATTTCTGTAGAAGCTATTCAGCATATTTCCATAGTCTCTCTACCTTGTCTATTCAATTGGTAAGTTACTGTTTCCAAACTTCTCCAAGAGAAATGCACCTAACAGCTTGTGATGCAAATTATGCATATACAGGATTATATATTTATACACATAGAGAATTATTCGTAGTGGCACTTGTGTATGAAAATGATTCTTCCTATCATCTGCTTCCTATCTGCTTCCTATCTGATCACATTACACCACTGCTTAAAACCATGAATGACACTGCGTTGTCTGAATAAGTTCAAACCCCATACATGCTAATACGCCTTATCTCTTGTATTCCTTGATTCAAATCCCGGTAACGTATCCCAGGCTCTCAGGTAGTTTCAGGTTGCTGGGCTTTTGCACAGGCTGTTGTCTCAGCCAACAGTGTTCTCTCTGCCTGCTTTTGTCCCTGGCAAACTTGTCTCAGATGAAGTGTAGCATAATCTTAGCTGGAGCCTTTATCAACTGCCCTAAGTAGAATCTATTTCTTGTTAGAAACAGTGTAAGTCTTTAAATAAATTTTTCTTAGGTGCTCTTTTCCTCTTTGTTCCTGGCATACTTTTAGTGTATGATTACATAGTAATTATAGTACAGTATTCATATTTGTTGAAAGTAATATTAATATGGTAGACTATGAACAGAGGCAAATTTTCTCCATTCTTACTTTGCTGAATCTTAAGGCAGGATGGCTTTGATTAAGGAGTCATTATTTTTTTCCTCAACTGGTGGAAGTAGAATACATTGTGCAATGAATATGCTTCCAAACTCAGAAGTCTTTTACAGTGCTTACTTTAAACAAGCAGAGTTTTACAGTTTTATTGATTGGGATCCATTGACTCCTTTGTGATTCACTCACTTGTACTTCAAGGACTTTCTATCAAATAATATTCTACTTTAACCCATAATATGCAACCACAGGACAGATGCATTAATTATTTGTATCTAAGTTCAAGGACTTGGTGTAGGTGTAAGACAGAAAAATTTGAGGTGATGTGATTGGAGGGAGGCTGGAATCAGTCTTTCTGTATCCTGCTGCAAAGTATCTGCCCCTGCTGAAGATAAGAGCTGAGTTCGTGCAGAGTCAGTACTGAAATGATTCCATTTTCTGCTTGGGATGCAACAATCTAAAACCTGAATTATGGCAGCTGTCCTTTTCCTTGATGTAGGCCGTGACTGGCCACAGGATACAGCCACCACATTGTGTATTGGTGTCTCCTATGCTCTGAGCATGCACAACCAAATCTGAGTCAAACCACATGAACAAGAGACCTCTCTTTAAGGGCCCAGAACACTAGAAAGCCTCCAGAATAGAGGGTGGGTCTGGGATACAGGAACAATAGCCTGTACAATATCCAGCAGTGATGTTGAGGGGGAAGAACACCAGATTATCCCTTCAATGTTGCTAGGTGCTTAAAAAGTATCATAATATGTCAATAAAACTGGAAATGACCAGATAGGATCAGACACCTCATGGGATAAAGAGCAAAAGTAGCAAGCCCTCCTGAGTATATTTCCTCTCACCCTCTCAGTTTTGCATGAGTAGTATGTTGAGAGAATGATGAAATTGGTGGGAGGAGACTAGAGAAGTCATTGCAATTTGGCAATTGGTCTGAAAACGTGGCCTGACTCTTAGATATAAATGATAATAAAATCTTCTAAGATTATGTAGGCCACATGTCTCTGCCTTCCCGATCTTCATTTCTATTATCCTAAGACCCAGAGGCCTGACTACGGAGGGAAATGAGTCCTCATTAGTGGTAAGAATATTGTATTTGTGTGTTACATGTCTTTTAAATGTCTTTTTCCCCTTTCCATATGAACATTTTGATGCCCATACTTAGTATTTTCATTTCGGTATCTTCAGCGTCCCTTAGAACATAATGCCTAGGTCTGCATTAAATAAATGCATGCGAATGAATGAATGGTGTTGCATTGTTTCCTTTGATGAAAAACATGCGTCTTATGGGACTGCTGGTCTGCTTATTTGTATTAAATTTATAACCTCCATGAGCATGGCACTCTGGAAATGTTCCTACATGAATGTGTCCACCTTTAACTTTTGTTCAAAATCCTTTTGAAGTTGTAAACTGACAAATCAATGGAGTCTATGAATGCCATTATTTTCAGCATTCACTCATTTTAGAAGAAAAGGAAACTTCCTTTCCTCACCTCCCACAGCCTGAAGAAAGTTTCCTTTTTGAGAGCAAAATTACCATTTGTTTAAAGCTTTCTCTTCAATTATAGCAATTTCCACATGTTTTAAAACTATTCTCAGCAAAAGAAAAATCAACATTATGTGCTTTTGAAACATAGGCTAATCTGGTAGACATCAGTTTGAAAGAGTCATGGCTGAAACAAGTGACTTGGAAGATTTTCATTGTATGCTCTTAGCCCATGTTGTCTGTGAACTCAGAAGCAGGACAAATTGAATTTTTTTTTTTGTGAAGATAAATTGATGCACAAGGGGAATCTTGAAATGCACTATTAAAAAGCTCAACTACTTAAGGATAAGACAACATGTAGCTGAACTTTTTCATATATATATATGTATATATATATACACACACATATATGTTTTTTATGTTTCATAGGCTTCAGTTAGGAGGACAGTACAGAGCCTCCACTGCAATCAACCAGCTGTGGCCTGCCAATTCTAGTTCCTGACAGGTAGCAAGCTGGATTCTTGGCTGTAAAGAATCTCAAGCAGTTTCGATATGCTCTAGGGAGGGCAACTGTTTAGCCTAAGCAATTCAAAGAAGCATAATTGTGCTTCACAGTACACAGAAAGTCACCACATCTGTTTCGTATTTTTGGCTTTTAGAACTGAACTAGAACAGAGAAATAAACATACAGCTTTGAATATAGAGTAAAAACAAGTTCATGGTGCACAGATGAGCATATTGTATGTAACTCAGTGAAAATTTCCTTAATGAGGGTTTCTTTTGGTAAAGTGAGAAATATTTCTGGTGTTAATCAAGGTTTTTTAAAAAAAGATTTAATAGAAAATATTGTCTATTTAAATGTCAAGACAGCCTATCATTCCTCCTTAAATCTATTATAGTCAATTGTTGAGATGTCGCAGCGGTGTTCATGTGACCTATTGCAAATATTTGGGGTGTCATCTGCTCTGCATTAGCCTTTCTAGTGATAGTTATTTTAAAAAAATAATTTGGATGTAGTAGGCTAAAAACATTCAAGGCAATGAATTAGAACTTCATTAACCACTTTCATCTTTTATTTTGGTTCAAATGTAAATGCAGTCATTTCATATCTAAGTGTATATAATATGTGATGACTGTCTTTTAAAAATGTAATCTAGCAGAAAATACATCTTAATTTGAATGTAACACTGCTTTAAATATAATTTTAATATTCTTCAGCATCTGGCGTCTCAAAGAATGGGGTCATTTGAGGTTAAGAAACTTTTCCCTAGAAATAATAATAATAATAATGATCTTCAGACAAACAGTGAAAAAGGCAAGTTCTTATCAAAACAGTCAGACACCATGGAAAGATGGGAAGAAAGAAACTAACGTATGGAGGTTTTTCTTTTACTAGGGGGCATCACATGATGATACTTATATATTTCCTACAATTCTCATATAGATAACTGTCATGTAGATAACATTTTGAGATTTTATGGATGAAAAACCTGGCATGAAATAATAAGTTTAAATTAGGTCAGCCCTGATTGTATTCAGGTTTCTCTTTTATTCCCTTTTCTTTCAATTTGCAATTGTTTTTTAATGTCTGTGTCCCCAGCAGTCTGTAAGCTCCATGAGGTCAAAGACTATGCCTGTCCTCTGTTATATACCCAGTGATCAGCACATATATGAATAGCAGCGAATTGATATTTATTAAACAGTTAAGAGATGCCTGGCACTGTTCTAAACAACTTAGATATATTGACTCATTTAATACTCCCAACAGTATTATGAGTGGATTACTATTATCTCCACTTTATACATGAGTAAAAAGAAGCACAGAAAAGTTAGGTAACTTGCCAAAGTCACACAGCTAGTAGATAGCAGAAGCAGGATTTAAACCTAGGCAGTCTGACTCTATCTCAATAGACGTTTTTAATTATTAAATTAACTCTTGTCAAAGTAATAAATTCTCTGAAATCAATCAAGATTGAAAAAGACCTATAGAGAAAATTACTCACTTAGATGTTAAGGTAGCCATTACCTCTTGTCGTAGTACTTATTCATTTAACAAAAATGCATTGAATGCATCTTATGTGCAATTGTGCTAAGTACCTTCTTAGATTACCTTACAGGAATCCTCTGTGTGTGTGTGTGTGTGTGTGTGTGTGTGTGTGTATGTGTGTGAATCTTATTCTCTCTGTTTTACAGATGAGGAAACTGAGCCTTCAAAAGGTTAAGTAGGCTGGGCACGGTGGCTCATGCCTGTAATCCCAGCAGTTTGGGAGGCTGTGGTGGGTGGATCACTTGAGGTCAGAAGTTCGAGACCAGCCTGGCCATCATGGTGAAACCTCGTTTCTACTAAAAATACAAAAGTTAGTCGGGCATGGTGGCACGCGCCTGTAGTCCCAGCTACTCGGGAGGCTGAGGCAGGAGAATCGCTTGAACTCAGGAGGCAGAGGTTGCAGTAAGCCAAAATCACACCACTGCACTCCAGCCTGGGTGACAGAGCGAGACTCCAACTCAAAAAAAAAAAAAAAAAGTTAAGTAATTTGGCCCAGTGATTAGCATGCACAATTGATAGTAAAGCTTGTCCAACTCCATACTCAGTGCTTTTTGTCATGATACAGTGATAAAACCTTTCTCTATTTTCTGATTACTAACACAATAGACGTCGATCTTAATAGCTAACATGTGGTGACACGTGGAAAGATATTAATCTCCTTGATTTTCGGCTTGCTTTATTCTTATTTAATGATTTGGGCTTTGTGAGTAACTTGGGTCTGTTTTTTCCTTGCTTTGAAGGAAATGCAGGCAGGGCAGATACTCACCCTTGTAGCTGATTTAGGCTGACAGGAGTTTAGTGTAGCCGTGAAGTTATGGACCAAGAGTCTTCCTGATTCTGTGTTGCAAGCCAGAAAGAATAAATTATTCTCTTCCCCTTTTCTGTCATTTTAAATCTGTAAAGGATTGTGTGCTATAAAAACTTGAAACTTGCTCTTCTATTGTTAATATATGATTTTTTTATAGGCTGTCAGAGATTAGAAAGAGGGGCTGCATAGTTCAAGTGTTATTTTCAATCAGGTAGCTATAACACATTTTATATCAGAAATCTGATGAGCATTTATTAATTACAGCGATCATATAATCTTTCAAATGCAAATAATCTGACTCAGATTTCAGTTTGTTTGGTACCAACTGATGATTAAAGAATGGTATAGCTTTATAGTTGTTTTACTCCCATCTGTGTGCACCAGGCAATCACCACTTACAGATGGTTGTGATTCAGAGACAGGTTGCCACATGCGAAAAAAGTATGTTTCAGTTATTTTAATAAGATTTATTGCAGTAGTCACAGTTAAATGCTTAAACTTTAATGATAATTGTTGTTAATCTTTCAGGAAAACGATTAGAGTTTAATAAACCTCAAGAAGGATATTTTGCTGTAAACGTCAGCAAAATTGCAAAGGGAAATTTTATGTTTATTTCCTCATCTAATAAATTAGAACTCTGAGTATACCTTTTTCCATAGAAACTGTAACTTGTAGACAGGTATATACGCTAGCATATGTGCCCGTGCATGCACACACACACACACACACACACACACACACACACACACACACACTACTATTGGGAACAAATTAAAGACCCCTAGTTACTATGAAAATATAATGGGTCAAGTGATACCAAATAATTCTGAACAAATATACTAAAATAATTCCTGTTAGTCTTGAGCTCTTTCTTGTGATAAAATATATATGGCATTACATAATATTTATCATTTTAACTCTTTTAAGTATACAGTGCAGTGGCATTAATTTCATAGTCTTGTGCAGCCATCATGGCTATTTTTCCTTGCTTTGAAGGGAATGCAGGCAGGGCAGATACTTTTGTAACTCATTTAGGCTGACAGGAGTTTAGTGTAGTCCTGAAGTTATGGTCTGAGAGTCTTCTTCCAGGACACTTTCATTTTCTCAAACAGAAACCCTGTACCCATTAAACAGTAACTCCCATTTTCCTCTCCATCTCATCCCCTGGTAACATCCATTTTCTGTCTCTATGAATTTGCCTCTTCTCGGTATCTTATTGCTATAGTTTGTCTGTTTGTGTCCCTCCAAAGTTCATGTTGAAATTTAATCCTCAGTGCAATAGTATTAAGAATTGGAACCTTTGTTTAGATCAAAAAAGCTCTTCTCTCATAAAGGGGATTAGTGGCCTTATAAAAGGGCTTGAGGGAAGAATTTCATCTCTTTTTGCCTTTTCTCCGTGTGGGGGTGCCGTAAGAAGTTGCCTTCTTTGAAACAGAGACCAAGCCCTCACCAGACACCAGATTTCCTAGTCCCTTCATCTTTGACTTTTCAGCCTCTGTAAGGGTGAGGAATAAATTTACATTATCTATCAATAATCCAGCCTAAAGTATTTCGTTATAGCAGAAGGAACAAACTAAGACACTCATGTAAGTGGAATCATACAATATTTGTCCCTTTGTGTCTGGCTTATTTCATTTAGTGTAATTATTGCACTTAGCAAAATGTTTTCAGGGTTTATCCATATATTAGAATTTCATTCCTTTTTATGGCTGGCTAATATTCCATTGTAGGCAGATACCACATATTGTTTCTTCATTCTTCTATTGATGGATATTGGAATCGACATTGGGATAGGCATTGGTACCTGATATGGTTTGGCTGTGTTCCCACCCAAGTCTCATCTGGAATTGTAGTTCCCATGATCCCCATGTGTTGTAGGAGTGACCCAGCAGGAAGTAACTGAATCATGGGGGCAGTTTCCCTCATGCTATTCTTGTGATAGTGAATAAGTTCTCACAAGATCCAATGGTTTTATAAGGGGCTTTCCCCTTAGCTCAGCTCTCATTCTTCTTGCTGCCACCATGTGAAGAAGGACATGTTCGCTTCCTCTTTTGCCATGATTGTAAGTTTCCTGAGGTCTCCCCAGCCCTGTGGAACTGTGAGTCAATTAAACATCTTTCCTTTTTAAATTACCCAGTCTCGGGTGTGTCTTTATTAGCGGCATGAGTACAGACTAATACAGTACCTTATAGATATTGTTAATAATTTTGATATGAACATTGATATACATGTATTTGTTTTAGTCCCTGCTTATGGGTATATACAGAAATGTGGAATTTCTGGATCATATAGTAATTCTAATTTTAGCCTTTTGAGCACTGACAAACTGTTTTTCATGGTAGCTACTCCATTTTACATTTTTACCAGCAGTGCGTGAGGGCTCCAATTTCTCAATATCTTTGCCAACACTTGATATTTCCTATTTTTTGATAATAACCCTCTTAGTGGATGTTAATCTTGAGCTTTTGTTAAACCAAATAGATACTTTAAGTAATCACATACAAATTTTTTATTTACTAATTTTATGTAAATTGTCACAAAGTTGCAATTTTGAATGATCTTAATTTGAATTGTCCCATTATTTTTATTTGTTTGGATAACTTCCTTGACTCTGAATAGGAAAGTTTCTTTACTTAAAAATGATGCCAAAGGCACATATAAACGATGTTTAACCCTTTGTGACAGCTTACATGGAAAAGCAGTGTTGTCTTAATACATAAAATAAAGGTAGCAATAAATTCATAACTACATGAAGAAAGGTGAAATAAGGTTTTAATTCAGGGCATTTCTGTTGTTTCTTGTTTACGATGTTGTGTGTCTGTTAAGTAGGTTGAAATAGGATTTTATATAGCTGTCGGAACCTTTATCCTATATATATGTACACACACACACACACACACACACACACGACATATGCATTTCATATACACACACATCTTTATACTGAGGAGGCTATTGCATTTAATATGGACAGATTAAATGAGATCCTGATCGGTATCAAGATCTGGGATACCCTGGTTGACTCTGGATTTCAGGATTTGTTTTTACTAAGGATTCACTGACATTCTGGACTGGGTTAACAGATAGGAGTAGGTCTACTTGCACATTCTAATTATGGTTATTTCCTTTCCAAACCAGGACCTAAATGTGCCTCTTGATTTGATTAGAGTTTGTGTCTTTTAAAAGATCGTTCTGTGTTAAGTGTATACTTCTGGTTGGTGGAAATGTGGAGACAGTATTGAGGGGAGAGCTCCACTCAGAGGAGAATGGGGCCTCCCATTTTGGGAAAAAAATCAATGAGTATTGAGTTTTGATTGAAGATGGCTACAAACCATCCTTTAGACACATTTTAAGGTTCAGTATTTCATTTTTTGCACTAAGCACCAACATTTTATCACCATATAATTCTAGGTTTATATGGCTTTGGAGCTTCAACTTTGGGTTCATGTCTGAAATAAAAGTCCTTAAATTATTTATTTGCAGTTTTAAGATGAAATAACTTAGTTGTATTTTTTTCAGAATCAAGTTCAGCATGTTTATAGAACTATTATGTAGAAAAACTCTCTTTAAAAAGTATATATAAAAATGAAATAATTCTTCTTTAAGATCTACAATGTTGATAGCATCTTCATAGAAGCCATACAATGTTTAGTTAAAAGTAAATGTGTTAATAAGATATTTCCAGAAAGAAGTTTTGCACCGCTATTCAGTGCACTGCAAAATATAAATAAAATAAATGTTGTCTTAACTTACATTCCAAACTGCAAAGAATTTGGAATATCATCTAAAATACAACCCATAATGACAGACTATATTGTTAGGAATAGCCAGTATTCTCATTGTACTGGGAAATGTATGTTAGCCTGGGTAGTTGTGGAAAGGAATGAATCATAGCTTCTCTTCCAATGAATGAGTCATGGTTGGCTGACTGGAGGTGGGAGTTTCAAGTGCTCTTTCTTTGAGTGATGGAAGTAATTTTTCATCATTTTATATATTATTCAATATCTCTGTCACTATTTCTGTTGATAAATGATATGAAAAATGATCATTTATGATTGAAATCAATTGAGATATTTACAATTAATTCTTTTCTTCCATAGATCTGAAAGTGCTTTCCAAAAATCAATTAATTTGCACAATATACTACTATAAGGTTAGTCTTATTATTACCACTTTATGGACAAATTCAAAGCAAGAGAGGTTAATTAACCCATCGTAGAGTCCAAAGGGCTGAAGTGGCAATGCAAAAATAGACTGAGTACCAACTTGAAGGCCAGGAACTCTGCTTTTAGCATGGATTTTAATTGATTTAGATCAGTTTCTCTAGCCTAAAAAGCACATACAATAATTCTGAATTATCATGCAGTGATATAGTGTGGATTAAATAATTAATATTCTGGAGCCCTTCATAAATGTGAATTATTATTATTCATTCTAGCCTTAGACCACTAAGTAGGCCAAGCTACCTTCCAGCACTGGTGACTAAAGTATAAATTAATTGGGTAAGTGAGAAATTCATCTCACACATTTCCCACTGAGAGATAAGAGACTGCTCGTTTTGATTGGAAATCTATATATACAGTGGTGCATTTTACTCTGCTTCACTTAATGTATGTGTTTGCATCCAATTCCCTAATAAACTGGAAAATCATTTTACAGAGAGAGATGTCATGTTCAAAATACCAGTATAAAATGCTTATGCTTCTATTAGAAACGATCATCTCTCTTTTTCTGGAGATGCACTTTAGGAATAATGTCATGTGGCTGGTGAAGTGGTTTGCTTTATTAATCTTTTACACACATGTTTAAAAACACTATTGAAAATAATATTTCTCCAAGGAAATATTCTGTGTTATCAAGCTTTGTGTGTATGTTTGGTGCTTTTTCAACAAACATACTTAAGGGAAATTACAAAACTGGAAATCCCAGGGTTATTTTATTGTAAGTTTTTTCCACTTAACCATTTGATTAGGAATGTTTTTGTTAGAGAGGCAAAACCCCCAAATACTTCATTTAAAGGAAGGAAGAAGTGGAGTTAAAAGATGTGAGGACTAAAACTAATTAGTTTTATGTCTTTTCAGAGGCCTGAGAAAGTCCATCCAAAGAATTCCTAATATACTAATGGGTCGGTGATAAGAATAATTTTCAAGATTGTGTTGAGACAGGTTTTAAGTCATTCATTCAGCAAATACTTCTTTAAAAGCTTTTATATGGTAGGCACACTTCTAGGTGCTGAGTGAAAATAAGGAGGAGGACCCTGCCCTTTATCACTTACAGTTGAGGAATTTCTCTTCTGCTCCCAGGTTGCTGAGTGTTTTTATCATGAAAGAGTGTTGGATTTTGCCAAGTGCCTTTTCAGAGATTATCTTTTTTTGCCCTTTACTTGTCAACGTGGTATATAACATTGATTGATTTTCATATGTTGAACACATCTTTGCTTTCCTTGAATAAATACTACTTGGTCATAGTGTATAATTATTTTCATGAGCCACTGGATTTGGTTTGCTTGTATTTTGTTGAAGATTTTTGTGCCTATATTCATGAAGTATGTTGAGTAGTTTTCTTATAATAACTTTGTCTGCTTTTCATATCAGTGTAATTTTGGCTTTGTAGAGTGAATTGCAATGTGTTAACTCCTTTTCTGTATTTTTTGGGGGAGGGGAAAGAATTTGTAAAGGATTGGTTATTGGTTAATTGTTTTTTAAGCATTTGGAAGAAATACCACTAACGACATCTGGTCCTAGGATTTTCTTTGTGGAAAGTTTTCTGATTACTAATTCATTTTCTTCTTGTTCTTTCTTCTTTCCTCCTCCTCCTCCTTCTCCTCCTCCTGCTCTTCTTCTTCCTCCTCCTCCTTCTTCTTTTTTTTTTTTTGGATAGAGTCTCGCTCTATCACTCTGTCACCAGGCTGGAGTGCAGTGGCAAAATCATAGCTCACTGTAGGCTCAACCATCCTCATACAATCTTCTCAACTCAGCCTTCTGCCTCCGAATAGCTAGTACTACATGCACATGTCACCATACCTGGTGATTTTTTTACCTATTTTTTTTTTTTTTTTTTTTTTTTAGAGACAGGATCTCACTATGCTGCCCAGCCTTCCATTGCTTCTTGAGTAAGTTTTGGTAGTTTATATCATTTTAGATATTTATCCATTTCATCTAGGTTATCTAATTTGTTGGTAGGCAATTATTCAAATTATACCTTAATAAATCTTTTTATTTCTTTAAGGTCAGTTATGATGATCCCTTTTTTTTTGTTCCTGACTTTAGTAATTTGAAACTTTTCTTATTTCTTGGTCAATCATTCTAGAGGGTTGTAAATTTTAAAAAATCTTTTCCAAAAACCAAATCTTGCCTTTCTTATTGTTTCTCTATTCTCTACTGATTTCCTCTTTAATCTTTATTACTTGTTCTTTATTTGGGCTTAGTTTGCCTTTCTTTTTATAGTTTCTTACAGTGGAAGATTTGGCTATTGATTAGAGACTTTTTTTATTAATATAGGTGTTTGGAGCTATACATTTCCCTATATTCACTGCTTTATCTGCAAACCATACAGTATGTTATGTAGTGTTTTCATTTTCAACATTTCATTTTTAATTTCTCTTGTGACCTCTTTGACTCATTGGTTATTTAGGAGTGTATTGTTTAATTTCCTCAAATTTGTGGATTTCCTAAATTTCCTTCAGTTATTGATGTCTCATTTTATGCTGTCAGAGAACGTATGTTGTATAACTTTAATCATTTTAAATTTATTGAAGCTTGTCTATGACCTGCTATATTGTGTATTCTGGAGAATGTCTTGTGGGCACTTGATTCTTCTATTTTTGTGTGGAATGTTCTATAACTTCTGTTAAGTCTAGTTAGTATAAGTTCTGTTCAGATCTTTTATATTTTGATTGATCTTATGTCTAGTTGTTCTATCCATTGTTGAAAGTAGTAATGGAAGTCTCCCACTGTTATTGTTGAATTATCTATTTCTTGCTTCAACTCTGTCATTTTTTTCTTCATGTATTTGGAGCTCTGTTGTTAAGTGCATTGTCTGAGTCCATTTTGTGTTGCTATAATGGAAGGCCTGAGACTGGGTAATTTACCAAAAAAAAAAAAAAAGTTTATTTGGTTCATGATTCTGCTGGCTAGAAGACTGGGCATCTGGTGAAAACCTCAGACTGCTTCCACAAATGGAAGAAAACAAAGACAAAGATGAGTTGGTGTGTGCAGGGATCACATGGTGAGAGAGGAAGCAGGAGAGAGCTGGAAGATGCCAGGCTTTTTTTAACAACCAGATCTGGGAGGAATGGTAGAGTGAGAACCTGCTCACTTCTAAGGGAGGAAATTTATCTATTCATGAGGGATCTGCCCCTACAATCCAAACACCTCCCATTTGGCACCACCTTCAACACTGGGGATCAAATTTCAATATGAGATTCAGATAGAAGAAACATTCAAACAATAGCATGCATATATGTTTATAATTGCTATATCTTCTTGATTTATTGATGCATTTATCATTATAACATGTCTCTTTTTGTCTCAGGCAACAATTTTGTGTTAAAAATGTATTTTGTATGATATTAATATAGCCACTATAGCTCTCTAACCTCCTTCAATTATTGTTTGCATGGTATATTTTCTTCTATCTCCTTACTTTCAATATATTTGTGTCTATGAATCTAAAGTGTTATCTCTTTTTTTATTATTATTATACTTTAAGTTCTGGGGTACATCGGCACAACGTGCAGGTTTGTTACATAGGTATACATGTGCCATGTTGGTTTGCTGCACTTATCAATTCATCATTTATATTAGGTATTTCTCCTAATGCTATCCCTCCCCCATCCTCCACCCCCTGAAAGACCACGGTGTGTGATGTTCCCCTCCCTGTGTCCATATGTTCTCATTGTTCAATTCCCACTTATGAGTGAGAACACGCAATGTTTGGTTTTTCTCTTCTTGTGTTACTTTGCTGAGAATGATGGTTTCCAGTTTCATCCATGTCCCTGCAAAGGACATGAACTCACCCTTTTTTATGGCTGCATAGTGTTCCATGGTGTATATGTGCCACATTTTCTTTATCCAGTCTATCATTGATGGGCATTTGGGCTGGTTCCAAGTCTTTACTATTGTGAACAGTGCTGCAAGAAACATATGTGTGCATGTGTCTTTGTAGTAGCATGATTTATAATCCTTTAGGTATATACCCAGTAATGGGATTGCTGGGTCAAATGGTATTTCTAGTTCTAGATCCTTGAGGAGTCACCACACTGTCTTCCACGATGGTTGAACTAATTTACACTCCCATCAACAGTGTAAAAGTGTTCCTATTTCTCCACATCCTCTCCAGCATCTGTTGTTTCCTGACTTTTTATTGATCACCTTTCTAACTGGCATCAGATGGTATCTCATTGTGGTTTTGATTTGCATTTCTCTGATGACCAGTGATGATGAGCATTTTTTCATAAGTTTATTGGCTGCATAAATGTCTTCTTTTGAGAAGTATCTGTTCATATCCTTCACCCACTTTTTGATGGGTTTGTTTTTTTCTTGTAAATTTGTTTAAGTTATTTGTAGATTCTGGATATTAGCCCTTTGTCAGATGGATAGATTGCAAAAATTTTCTCCCATTCTGTAGGTTGCTGTTCACTCTGCTGATAGTTTCTTTTGCTGTGCAGAAGCTCTTTAGTTTAATTAGATCCCATTTGTCTATTTTGGCTTTTGTTGCCATTGCATTTGGTGTTTTAGTCATGAAGTCTTTGCCCATGCCTATGTCCTGAATGGTATTGCCTAGGTTTTCTTCTATGGTTTTTATGGTTTTAGATCTAAGGTTTAAGTCTTTAATCCATCTTGAGTTAATTTTTGTATAAGGTGTAAGGAAGGGATCCAGTTTCAGCTTTCTACATATGACTAGGCAGTTTTCCCAACACCATTTTTTAAATAGGGAATCATTTCCCTATTTCTTGTTTTTGTTAGGTTTGCCAAAGATCAGATGGTTGTAGATGTGTGGTGTTATTTCTGAGGGCTCTGTTCTGTTCCATTGGTCTATATCTCTGTTTTGGTACCAGCACCATACTGTTTCAGTTACTGTAGCCTTATAGTATAGTTTGAAGTCAGGCAGAGTGATGCCTCCAGCTTTGTTTTTTTTTTTTGCTTAGGATTGTCTTGGCTATATGACCTCTTTTTTGGTTCTATACGAAATTTAAAGTTTTTTTGTTTTCCAATTCTTTGAAGGAAGTCAGTGTTAGCTTGATGGGGATAGCATTGAATCTATAAATTATAGATATTTCTTGTAGAAAATATCTGGGTGGATCATGTTTTTTTAAAAGCAGTTTATTCTGCTAGTTTCTTTCTTTTAATTGGATAATTTAATCCATTCATTTTTAATATAGTTACTGATAAGGTAGGATTTACATTTGCCATTTTGCTACTTTTTAAGAATATGTCTTATATCTGTTCCTCTATTCCTCCATTTCTGCCTTTTTTTGTGTCAAAAGTTGTTCTTTACTGAACCATTTTGATTTTCGTTTCTTTTACTATACTTTTTATTTTCTCAGCAATAACTGGGAATTACAATTAAAATCTTAATTTACTGTAATCTAGTCCATATTAATACCAATTTAATCAAAATATATAAAAAAATTTCTTTCTGTGTGGCTACTTTCTCTCTCCTTCCTTTGTGCTGTTATTGTCAAACAAATTTCATCTTAATAAATTGTATGCCCCCAGATTCAGATTAATAATCCTTGTTTTATGCTGTAAACTTTTAAATCATATGAGGTAAAAATAGTTACAGACAGAAATACAATTATACTTTTATATTTACTTATGTTGTTACCTTTACCAGTGCTTTTTATTTCTTTATGCAAATTTGTTAACTATAGAGTGTCCTTTCATTTCAGCCTGAATTCTCTTTTGTGTTTCTTACAGGTTCAACAGTGTCCTTTCATTTCAGCCTGAAGAACACCCTTTTGTATTTCTTATAGGTCAGGTCTGCTAGAAACAGATTCTCTCAGATATTGTCTATCTGCGAACATCTTAATTTCTCCTTAATTTTTCAATTAGTTTTAGTGGATGTAGAATTTTTGGTTGATAGTCTTTCTTTCTGCACTTCAAATATATCATCCTACTGCTTTTTTGCCTCCATGGTTTCTGATGAGAAATTGACTGTTAACTTTTTGAAGATCCCTGTATGTGAAGATTCACTTCTCTGTTGGTGATTTCAATTTTTTTTTTGTTTTTTTTGTCTTTGACTTTCAATATGTGTCTAAGATGTGAATCTCTTTGAATTTATCCTGCTTGGGTTTTGTGGAGGTTCTTGGATAAATGTTAAGATTTATGCTTTTCATCAAATTTGGGAATGTTTGTGAATTTTTTGAACATTTTTCTGCCTGTTGTTTCTCCTTTCCTTCAAAGATTCCCATTAAGTGTATGTTAGTATGCTTGATCATGTCCCACAGATCTCTGAGGTTCTGTTCATTTTTATTCATTTAAAAAAATTCTGGCCGTTGTATTGAATAATATTAATTGACCTGTCTTTAAGTTCACAGATTCTTTCTTCTGTCTGTTCAGAGCTAGTGCTGAGTAGTATTTAAAATAGCTGATATAATATATTTTTCAAGTTAGTCCAGCGTTTTGGCTTTCTCAGGGATAGTTTCAATTGGCCACTTCTCCCTGCACATCCCCCATGGTATATGTACTATGCTCTCTTGCTTCTTTGCATGGCTTATAATTTTCTGTTGAAAACTAGACATCTAAAATAATATAATGTAGTGACTCAAAAATCAGATTCTCTCCAGGATTTATTGTTGGTTTTGTTGCTTATTTGTTTAATGACTTTTCTTAGTGAATTCTGTAAAGATAAATAAAAGGCATCCAAATTGGAAAATAGGAAGTCAAATTATCCCTGTTTGCTGATGATATAATCTTATACCTAGAAAAACTTAAAGACTCTACTAAAAAACTCTTATTTGATAAATGAATTTAATAAAGTTGTAGGCTACAAAATCAACATTCAAAAATCAGTTCGATTTCTATACAGCAATGATGATCAAGCTGAAAATCAAATCAAGAATGCAATCTCATGTACAATAGCTACAAGTAAATTTAAAATTTCTACAGATATATTTAACCAAGGAGGTGAATGCTCTCTATAAAGAAAACTATAAAACATGATGAAAAATATCATAGATGACACAAACAAATGGAAAAACATCCCATGCTCATGAACCAGCGTATTAATACCATTAAAATGACCGTACTGCCCAAAGCAATCTACAGATTCAATGCAATTACTATCAAAATACTTCAGATACGTCAAGAAATGTCATTTTTTCACAGAATTAGCAAAACAATTTTTAAATTCATATGGAAGCCAAAAGGAACCTGAGTAGCCAAAGCAATCCTAAGCAAAAAGAACATAGCTGGAGCCATTACATATCCTGAGTTTAAATTATACTATAAGGTTATAGTAATCAAAATAGCATGGTACTGGTATAAAAATTAACACATAGGTTGGTGGAAGAGAATAGAGTGCCTGTAACATAGCCACATATTTAAAGTGAACTGATCTTTGACAGAGCCAATGAGAACATACCCTGAGGTAAGGAAATACTTGTCAATAAATGGTGCTGGGAAAATTGAAGGTGGATTCTTATCTGTCACAATTTACAAAATTCCTCCTAAAACTGTTCCAAAACATTGAGGAGAAGAAATTCTCTCTAACTCATTCTTTGAAGCCAGTATTACCCTGATGTCAAAACCTGGCAAAGGCACAACAAAAAAAGAAAACTGTAAACCAGTATTCCTTATGAACATAGATGCAAAATTCCTCAGCAAATACTAGCAACCATATCCAACAGCACATCAAAAAGATAATACACTGTGATCAAGTTGAGTGCTACACCCAGAATGCAAGGATGGTTCAACATATGCAGATCAATAAATGTTATGCAAATCAATAAATGTGATACATCACATAAACAGAATTAAGGACATAATTATATGAGCATCTCAATAAACACAGGAAAAGCATTTGAGTGGCCTAGTAATCAACTTTCTGATTTCTTTATCTGGCAATTCAGAGATCTTCTTCATTTGGATTCATTGCTGGAGAACCAGTGTTATCTTCTGGGGTTGTTATAGAATCTTGTTTTGTCATATTACCAGAATTACTTTTTTAGTTTCTTCTTATTTGGGTAGCCCATTTCAGTGCAAAGGTCTGGAACTGAAGGGCTCCTATTCAGATACTTTTGTCCTATGGGGCGATCGCTTGGTGTGGTGCTCTCCCCTCTTCTCCTATGTATGGGACTTCTTGAGAGGCAGACTGCAGTGATTGTTATTGCCCTTCTGGGTCCAGCCATCCAGTGGGGCTACCAGGCTCTGTGATGGTGCTGGGGAACATCTACAAAGAGTCCTGTGATGTGATCTGTCTTCAGGTCTCCCAGCTGTGGATACCAGCACCTGGCTCGGTAATTTATAAATAAAGGAGGTTTAATTAGCTCATGCTTCTGCAGGCTGCACAAATATGGCATCAACATCTGCTTGGCTTCTGTTAAGGACCTCAGGAAACTTACAATCAAGGCAGAAGGCAAAGGAGGAGCAGGTATCTCATATGGTGAGAGTAGAAGCAAGGTGGTGGGGAGGTGCCAGGTACTTTTAAACAATCAGATCTTGTGTGGATTTAGAGTGAGAACTCAACTTATCACTAAGGGTATGGTGTTAAACCATTCATGAGAGATCCACCCCCATGATTCAATTACTTACCACTAGGGCCCACTTCCAACACTGGGAATCACATTTCAACATGAAATTTGGAGGGGACAAACATTCAAACCATATCAGACATGAACAGACATTTTTTAAAAAAAGGCATAGAAGTGGCCATAAGGTATATGAAAAAATGCTCAACATCAGTAATCATCAGAAAAATGCAAATTAAAATTACAATGAGAGCTTATCTTACCCTAGTAAGAATGGCTATTATTAAAAAGACAAAAACAAAACAAAACAAACATATCAGTGAGGATACAGAGAAAAGAGAACTCTTATACACTGTTGGTGGGAATGTAAATTAGTACAGCCTCTATGGAAAAAAGTATAGATATTTCTTAAAGAATTAAAAATAGAACTACCATTTGATCTAGCAAACCCACTACTGGGTATCTACCCAAAGGTAAAGAAATCAATATATCAAAAAGATAACTGCACTTGTATGTTTACCAACACTATACTCAATAGCAAAGATATGGAATACACCTTGGTGTCCATCAGTGGATGACCAGATAAAGAAAATGTGGTATGTATACAGAATGGAATACAATTCAGCCATAAAAAAGAATAAAGTCATGTATTTTGCAGCAACATGGATGGAATTGGAGATCATTATCTTAAGTGAATCAAGGCAGACATAGGAAGTCAAATATTGCTTGTTCTCACTGATAAAGGAGTGCTAAACAATGTGCACACATGGATGTAGAGAGTGGAACAATGAACAGTGGAGACTTGGAAGGGTGTGGGAGTGGGAGGGGATGAATGGTGAAAAATTACTTAATCGGTACAATGTGCATTTTTTTTGAGTGATGGATACTCTAAAACCCTTGATTTGACTCTAATGTTCTATGCATGCAACAAAATTGCACTTGTACCTCATAGATTTATATAAAAAAAGTTTTCTTGTCCCAGTTTGAAGTTTGTCAGGCTAGGAAGAATTCTCCCATACTCAGGGGAGGGTATACCTTTTTGTTCTATTCAGGCCTTCAACTGATTGGTTGAGTGCTACCCACTTTTGGATTTCTTCACTCAGTCTATCAGTGTTAATCTCATCCAAAACAACCTTAGAGAAACACCTAAAATAATGTTTGAACCAACATCTGGGTTCCCCTTGGCCTAGTCAAGTTGACATACAAAATCAACCATCACACTATGACATTTAATCAACTAGTATTCTGGTCAATCAATAATGACAATTTGACACAAACTAGTTAATGATTGCTTTACATAACAATGTAGCATATTGTTAAGAAATTTTAGGCATTAGCTAATCAACTTCCATAGATAGGAAAAGAACTAAAGTACTCAGCTAAATTAAATGACATTTAAAAAGTTATATAACACATTGGAAGAAAACAAAACACGAAATTATTCTGTTTTGATTAAGACCCTCATTTGTAGATGTAAAGATAGACTAAGAAATAAATAAATTCTAAGAAAAGTAATATAAAATATTGGATTATGAATAACATATATACTATATCTAATGTCTACATAAACTCAACTGTATATACTGTAATTTATTTTTAAGGTGTGCTTTATAGGGAATGTATATAGTGTACCAATGTTTATTAGTTTGTGACCCAAGTTCCTCTAAGCAGAGCTATGAGTAAGTTATTTTCAATTTCAATGGACATCACAACTTTAAGTGCTATTTTATGTTAATACTGAAGTTCATTAAATTTGCCTTTAACAATTGTTACTTTTATTTTAGACTTAAGTGACATAATTAGACATATATTCTCAGAATATTAGAAGGTGACAGCAAGTTTTGAAATTAATTAGATTTTTTTTAAAAAAAGAGATACCAGATGTTTAAATTAGGAAGATATGGGCTTTTACAAGTTTCCTTATAGTGCTGAAAAATAATAGAAATATATTAGTATAGAAGATTAAACTTTCTAAGTATTTCTATAATTTTCTGTCTTTTTTAAATTACAACATATTTACGAAGATATAGGCTATATTACATTGATGTAGATTCTATCAAGTGAATCATATTTAAAACTACACAAATGAAGTACTTTTTAAAGAATATTAAATTATTATTTGTCTAATTGGTATTTGTGTTTTTATTTATTTATTTTTTTTGAGACAGAGTATCACTCTGTCACCCGGCTAGAGTTAAGTGGTGCAATCTTGGCTCACTGCAGCCTCTACCTCCCAGACTCAAGTGATCCTCCCACTTCTGCCCCACGAGAAGCTGGGACCACAGGTGCGTGCCACCATGCCCAGCTAATTTTTGTTTTTTTTGGTAGAGACGGAGTTTAATTATGTTACCCAGGCTGGTCTTGAACTTCTGAGCTCAAGTGATTCACCCACCTCAGCCTCTCAAAGTGCTGGGATTACCGGTGTGAGACACAGTGCCTGGCCGAACTGGTAATTTTAAACTGTGATTGAGAAAATGACTTCCAAATAAATGATCAAGAGGGTGGGACTGCCCTGTAGGGCCCAGAGGACAAAATATCAAACCACGGTGTTACTCTTGGACCTTGAAACCTAGTGGAATGCTGGATTTTGGGCTTGCTTGAGATCTGTGACCCCTATATTCCTTCCAATTTCTCTCTTTTGGAATGGAAAATCTATCCTCTGCCTGTCCCACCATTGTATTTTGGAAGTGGATAATTTATTTTCTAGTTTCACATGTTCACAGAGGAAGAGGAATTTTGCCCAGGAGGAGCCATATCCAAAGTCTCACCCATACCTGATTTAAATTATTTAGATGACCTAATTTGGGACTTTTTATGCTTGTATTTAGACAGAATTTTGGATTTAGGGTTAATGCTAGAATGGCTGAAGACTTTTGAGAAGCGGTGAATGTTTTTTATATTTGGGATGAATGTCAATGTTGGGGGGGCAGAGGCAGACTTAACTGAATTAAATAGTGTTCCTCCAAAATTCATGTCCACCTGGAACTTCGGAATGATCTTTCTTGGAAATGGGGTCATGGCAGATGTAATTAGTTAAGATGAGGTCATACTGAATTAGGGTAGACCCTAAATTCCCTGACTCATGTCCTTATTTGAAGTCCACGTGAAGAAGCAGAGACATACACACAGGGGACAAGTCCATGTGAAGCTAGAAGGAGAGACTACAGGGATGCATTTACAAGCCAAGGAATGTCAGGGATCACTGACAACCACCAGAAGCTGGAAAAGACAAGGAAGAATTCTTCCCTAGAGCCTTCAGAGGAAACATAACCCTCTCAAACCTTAATTTCAGACTTTTAGCCTTCATAACTGTGAGAGAATACATTTCTATTATTTTAATCCACTTTGTGATACTTTGTGACTGCAGCCCTTGGAATCTAAGGTGGTATTTATCCTCAGACTTGTCAGCAGTAACGAGGTAAACAGAAGTTGGAGCTCAGAAGTACTTTGAGAACATGAAGGGAATAGCTACAGGGAAATCATACATTTATATGTTAAATACAGCATTGGTGACTAAATCCACACTGTAGTATTGCTAGCAAGTTGCTAGGTTTACATATAAATACTATATGCTTGCAAGTATTTAAGAAATTGTGTTATTATGACATAGTACTTTTTAAGGGACCCTGGACTCAGTTCAAAAAATTTTTGCCAAGGTTGTCTTCTAAGTACACAGTCATAAAGTAACCTTTAAAATTAACATCCGGTATCTCCTTGAAGCATGCCCAAATGTACCTACTCAATTTTCCACTGCAAAACTCACAAGATACTAATAAATTTCTGTTATGTTGTCATCTAGCTTTCATGCATTTATGTAGTTCATCCTCATGTACACCTTATCTATAAAGCAAAAAATACTTAATAAAACCTGGAAAAAGAAAAGGGGATATATACCATATAGGGGAGATTTTATATATATATATATATATATATTTTTATGTATCATACCATATATATATATACCATATATATATACTATGATATGTATTTATATGTATAATATGAATGTATATAAATACACACACATACATATACATGCATACACACATATACACATATGAAAAGGACATACGTCATTTACCATCTCTTATAAAAGCAGAAACTACAGTGGCATAAGCATGATTAAAAATTTCTTTTTAACAATGCAATGAGCTAGCCAACCGACAAAAACTAATTTTTAGAGGCTCATCCTTCCTCTTTTCTGCTTGGTGACTTACCTCTATTGCCATCTAACTTCAAGTCATATCAGAGACATCATTTCTTCCAGGATGACTTCCTCAAATTCCACATGCAGATAATTATCTTCCAGGTAGTGGCTGGTTCCCCAGTGCTCTTTCAAACTTTCCATTGCAGTGTACATATTTGTTTATATGATTGTCTTCTACACTTGACTATCATCCCTTAAAGAAGTTCATTGGAATATATGGGCTGCTTTTTCCTTCCAGTCTTGAATATTATTTATTTTTTAAAACAGCTTTAACAATATAGCTGACATAAAATAAATTGCATATATTTTAAGTGTACAAATTGATGAGCTTTGATGTATATCTACACCCATTGGTATGGACCATCACCACAGCAGGAGATTTAATATATCCATCAACATTCCCAAAACTTTTCTCATGTAGATGGGCTGCATTTAAGTGAAGTTTTAGCAAAGAGGTTGATTCTTTAGAACTTAAAGAATTCTGGAGTCCTTGGGGGTAGGTTCCAAGATGGCCAAATAGGAACAGCTCCAGTCTACAGCTCCCAGCATGAGCGACACAGAAGACAGGTGATTTCTGCATTTCCAACTGAGGTACTGGGTTCATCTCACTGGGACTTGTTGGACAGTGGGTGCAGCCCACAGAGTGTGAGCTGAAGGAGGGCGGGGCATCGCCTCACCCGGGAAGTGCAAGGGGTCAAGGAATTCCCTTTCCTAGCCAAGGAAAGCTGTGACAGATGGTACCTGGAAAATCGGGACACTCCCACACTAATACTACACTTTTCCAATGGTCTTAGCAAATGGCACACCAGGAGATTATATCCCGTGCCTGGCTCAGAGGGTCCCATGCCCATGGACCCTCGCTCACTGCCAGCAAAGCAGTCTGAGATTGAACTGCAAGGCAGCAGCGAGGCTTGGGGGAGGGGGGTGCGTCTGCCATTGCTGAGGCTTGAGTAGGTAAACAAAGCAGCTGGAAAGCTGGAACTGGGTGGAGCCCACAGCAGCTCAAGGAGGCCTGCCTGCCTCTGCAGACTCCATCTCTGGGGGCAGGGCATAGCTGAACAAAAGGCAGCAGAAACTTCTGCAGACTTAAATATCCCTGTCTGACAGCTTTGAAGAGAGTAGTGGTTCTCCCAGCACGGAGTTTGAGATCTGAGAATGGACAGACTGCCTCCTCAAGTTGGTCCCTGACCCCCAAGTAGACTAACTGGATGACACCTCCCAGTAGGGGTTGACTGACACCTCATACAGCCGGGTGCCCCTCTGAGACAAAGCTTCCAGAGGAAGGATCAGGCAGTAACATTTGCCGTTTTGCAATATTTGCTGTTCTGCAGCCTCCGCTGGTGATACCCAGGAAAACAGGGTCTGGAGTGGATCTCCAGCAAACTCCAACAGACCTGCAGCTGTGGGTCCTGACTGTTAGAAGGAAAAGTAACAAACAGAAAGGATATCCACACCAAAACCCCATCTGTATGTTACCATCATCAAAGACCAAAGGTAGATAAAACCACAAAGATGGGGAGAAACCAGAGCAGAAAAGCGGAAAATTCTAAAAATCAGAGCACCTCTTCTTCTCCAAAGGAATGCAGCTCCTTGCCAGCAACGGAACAAAGCTGGATGGAGAATGACTTTGATGAGTTGAGAGAAGAAGGCTTCAGATGATCAGTATTAACAAACTTCTCCGAGCCAAAGGAGGATGTTCGAACCCATTGCAAAGAAGCTAAAAACCTTGGAAAAAGATTAGACGAATGGCTAACTAGAAAAAACACTGTAGAGAAGACCTTAAATGACCTGGTGGAGCTGAAAACCATGGCATGAGAACTACGTGACACATGCACAAGCTTCAGTAGCCAATTTGATCACATGGAAGAAAGGGTATCAGTGATTGAAGATCAAATGAATGAAATGAAATGAGAAGAGAAGTTTAGAGAAAAAGGAGTAAAAAGAAACAAATGAAGCCTCCAAGAAATATGGGACGATGTGAAAAGATCAAATCTATGTCTGACTGGTGTACCTGGAAGTGACGGGGAGAATGGAACCAAGTTGGAAAACACTCTTCAGGATATTATCCAGGAGAACTTCCCCAACCTAGCAAGGCAGCCCAACATTCAAATTCAGGAAATACAGAGACTGCCACAAAGATACTCCTCAAAAAGAGCAACTCCGAGACACATAATTGTCAGATTCACCAAAGTTGAAATGAAGGAAGAAATGTTAAGGGTGGCGAGAGAGAAAGGTCGGGTTATCCACAAAGGGAAGCCCATCAGACTAACAGCAGATCTCTCAGCAGAAACCCTATAAGCCAGAAGAGAGTGGGGGCCAATATTCAACATTCTTAAAGAAATAATTTTCAAGTCAGAATTTCATATCCAGCCAAACTAAGCTTCATAAGTGAAGGAGGAATAAAATACTTTACAGACAAGCAAATGCTGAGAGATTTTGTCACCACCAGGCCTGCCCTACAAGAGCTCCTGAAGGAAGCACTCAACATGGAAAGGAACAACCGGTACCAGCCACTGCAAAAACATGCCAAATTATAAAGACCATCGATGCTAGGAAGAACTGCATGAACTAATGAGCAAAATAACCAGCTAACATCATAATGACAGGATCAAATTCTCACATAACAATATTAACCTTAAATGTAAATGGGCTAAATACTCCAATTAAAAGACACAGACTGGCAAATTGGATAAAGAGTCAAGACCCATCAGTGTGCTGTATTCAGGAGACCCATCTCAGGTGCAGAGACACACATAGGCTCAAAATAAAGGGATAGAGGAAGATCTATCAAGCAAAGGGAAAACAAAAAACAGCAGGTGTTGCAATCCTAGTCTGTGATAAAACAGACTTTAAACCAACAAAGATCAAAAGAGACAAAGACGGCCATTATATAATGGTAAAGGGATCAATTCAACAAGAAGAGCTAACTGTCCTAAATATAAATGCACCCAATACAGGAGCACCAAGATTCATAAAGCAAGCCCTTAGAGACCTACAAAGAGACTTAGACTCCCACACAATAATAATGGGAGATTTTAACACCCCACTGTCAACATTAGACAGATCAACGAGACAGAAAGTTAACAAGAATATCCAGGAATTGAACTCAGCTTTGCACCAAGCAGACCTAATAGACATTTACAGAACTCTCCACCCCAGATCAAAAGATTATACATTCTTCTCAGCACCACATCACACTTATTCCAAAATTGACCACATAGTTGGAAGTAAAGCACTCCTCGCCAAATGTAAAAGAACAGAAATTACAAGAAACTGTCTCTCAGACCACAGTGCAATCAAATTAGAACTCAGGATTAAGAAACTCACTCAAAAGTGCTCAACTACATGGAAACTGAACAACCTGCTCCTGAATGACTACTGGGTACATAATGAAATGAAGGCAGAAATAAAGATGTTCTTTGAAACCAATGAGAACCAAGACACAACATACCAGAATCTATGGGACACATTTAAAGCAGTGTGTAGAGGGAAATTTATAGCACTAAATGCCCACAAGAGAAAGCAGGAAAGATCTAAAATTGACATCCTAACATCACAATTAAAAGAACTAGAGAAGCAAGAGCAAACACATTCAAAAGCTAGCAGAAGGCAAGAAATAACTAAGATCAGAGTAGAACTGAAGGAGATAAAGACACAAAAAACCCTTCAAAAAATCAATGAATCCAGGAGCTGGTTATTTGAAAAGATCAACAAAATTGATAGACAACTAGCAAGACTAATAAAGAAGAAAAGAGAGAAGAATCAAATAGATGCAATAAAAAATGATAAAGGGGATATCACCACCGATCCCACAGAAATACAAACTACCATCAGAGAATACTATAAACACCTGTATGCAAAGAAACTAGAAAATCTAGAAGAAATGGATAAATTCCTGGACACATACACCCTCCCAAGACTAAACCAGGAAGAAGTTGAATCCCTGAATAGACCAATAACAGGCTCTGAAATTGAGGCAATAATTAAGAGCCTACCAGCCAAAAAAAGTCCAGGACCAGACGGATTCACAGCCGAATTCTACCAGAGGTACAAGAAGGAGCTAGCACAATTCCTTCTGAGACTATTCAAATCAACAGAAAAAGAGGGAATCCTCCCTAACTCATTTTATGAGGACAGCATCATCCTGTTTTACCAAAGCCTGGCAGAGACACCACAAAAAAAGAGAATTTTAGACCAATATCCCTGATGAACATCAATGCAAAAATCCTCAAAAAAATACTGGCAAACCAAATCCAGCAGCACATCAAAAAGCTTATCCACCACGATCAAGTTGGCTTCATCCCTGGGATGCAAGGCTGGTTCAACATACACAAATCAATAAATGTAATCCATCACACAAACAGAACCAAAGACAAAAACCACATGATTATCTCAATAGATGCAGAAAAGGCCTTTGACAAAATTCAACAACCCTTCATGCTAAAATCTCTCAATAAATTAGGTATTGATGGGACGTATCTCAAAATAATAAGAGCTATTTATGACAAATCCACGGCCAATATCATACTGAATAGGCAAAAACTGGAAGGATTCCCTTTGAAAACTGGCACAAGACAGGGTTGTCCTCTCTCACCACTCCTATTCAACATAGTGTTGGAAGTTCTGGCCAGGGCAATCAGGCAGGAGAAAGAAAGAGAGAAAGAAAGGACATTCAACTAGGAAAAGAGGAAGTCAAATTGTCCCTGTTTGCAGATGACATGATTGCATATTCAGAAAACCCCATCGTCTCAGCCCAAAATCTCCTTAAGCTAATAAGCAACTTCAGCAAAGCCTCAGGATAAAAATCAATGTGGAAAAATCACAAGCATTCCTATACACCAAAAACAGACAGAGAGCCAAATCATGAGTGAACTGCCATTCACAATTGCTTCAAAGAGAATAAAATACTTAGGAATCCAACTTACAAGGTATATGAAGGACCTCTTCAAGGAGAACTGGAGAACTACAAACCACTGCTCAATGAAATAAAAGAGGACACAAAGAAATGGAAGAACATTCCATGCTCATGGACAGGAAGAATCAATATCGTGAAAATGGCCATACTGCCAAAGGTAATTTTTGGATTCAATGCCATTCCCATCAAGCTACCAATGACTTTCTTCACAGAATTGAAAAAACTACTTTAAAGTTCATGTGGAACCAAAAAAGAGCCCACATTGCCAAGACAATCTTAAGCCATAAGAACAAAGCTGGAGGCATCAGGCTACCTGACTTCAAAGTATACTACAAGGCCACAGCATGGTACTGGTACCAAAATAGAGATAAAGACCAATGGAACAGAACAGAGCCCTCAGAAATAATACCACACATCTACAACCATCTGATATTTGGCAAACCTGACAAAAACAAGAAATGGGGAAAGGATTCCCTATTTAATAAATGGTGCTTGGAAAACTGGCTAGCCTTATGTGGAAAGCTGAAACTGTATCCCTTCCTTACACCTTATATAAAAATTAATTCAAGATGCATTAAAGACTCGAATGTTAGACCTAAAGCCATAAAAACCCTAGAAGAAAACCTAGGCAATACCATTCAGGACATAGGCATGGGCAAAGACTTCATGACTAAAACACCAAAAGCAATGGCAACAAAAGCCAAAATCGACAAATGGGATCTAATTAAACTAAAGAGCTTCTGCACAGCAAAAGAAACTACCATCAGAGTGAACAGGCAACCTACAGAATGGGAGAAAATTTTTGCAATCTACCCATCTGACAAGGGCTAATATCCAGAATCTATAAAGAACTTAAACAAATTTACAAGAAGAAATCAAACAACCCCTCAAAAAGTGGGGAAAGGTTATGAACAGACACTTCTCAAAAGAAGACATTTATGCAGCCAACAGACACATGAAAAAATGGTCATCATCACTGGCCATCAGAGAAAAGCAAATCAAAACCACAATGAGATACCATCTCACACCAGTTAGAATGGTGATCATTAAAAAGTCAGGAAACAACAGGTGCTGGACAGGATGTGGAGAAATAGGAAGACTTCTACACTGTTGGTTGGACTGTAAAGTAGTTCAACCATTGTGGAAGACAATGTGGTGATTACTCAAGGATTTAGAACTAGAAATACCATTTGACCCAGCCATCCAATTACTGGGTATATATCCAAAGGATTGTAAATCATGCTGCTATAAAGACACATGCATACGTATGTTTATTGCAGCACTATTCACAATAGCAAAGACTTGGAACCAACCCAAATGTCCATCAGTGATAGACTGGATTAAGAAAATCTGGCACATATACACCATGGGACACTATGCAGCCATAAAAAAGGATGAGTTCATGTCCTTTGTAGGGACATGGATGAAGCCGGAAACCATCATTCTGAGGAAACTATCGCAAGGACAGAAAACCAAACACCGCATGTTCTCACTTATAGGTGGGAATTGAACAATGAGACAGTTGCACACAGGGTGGGGAACATGAAACACTGGGGCCTGTCATGGGGTGCAGGGAGGGGGGAGGGATAGCATTAGGAGATATACCTAATGTAAATGATGAGTTAATGGGTGCAGCACACCAACATGGCACATGTATACATATGTAACAAACCTGCACGTTGTACACATGTACCCTAGAACTTAAAGTACATTGAAAAAAAAAGAACTTAAAGAATTCTGGACAAAAATGTCAGTGGATGAGTGGACATTTAAATAATTTGAAGCAGCTAGATTAGAAGTACTTGTTGGGACATTGAGCTAGCTGGCTAAGACTCATTCTGGGCTGTTGAAATCCTCTTCCTGTAGCACATCTATTTAAGAAATGGTGCCTTGGGTGTTATGTTAACTTTAGTGAATGTGGAGCGCAGTAAGAAGGAGTAAAAGCCAATACTGTAGCTTACTAATTCTGAGTTGCACATTTTTTGTATACCTTTTAACTCTCTGAAATGAAGATACATCTTATAATTAATAGTGTGTCATAGTTTGGTCAGTATTTTTCTTTTCATTAGTATATAAAGTAATAGTGAGTCAATATCAATTTTTATCTTATATTCTATAACGTGTACTTCTCTGAAGTTAAGAGATCAGAGACAGAATGTCCATATTTTCTGTAAGTTTTTAGTTCCCTCCTCAGCTATGCTTGATCTGGTATTCTTGGCCAGTTTCCTGGGAGTTGCTGCTAGTCAGTTAGAAAAACACAGGAAAATAATGGAACCACTTGATGCTAACATTACTTGATATGCCTATGACATGTTCCTCTCTCCAAAAAGAAATTAAAATATTCTACGTCATTATATTTTTAAAGAAGGACATATTTCAGGGCCCCACCAAAAATAGACAAAGTAAGTGGGACCAGAATAAATGACTAGTCAAATGGAGTTAAGGGGAGGGAAAAAATGGTGGATAGGATGCAGGAATAAATTGCAGCTCCCCGTCTGATGGACAGAGCAGCCTGTGGAGGCTCACATTGTGAACTTTTGCTCCAAGAGCTACTTCAGGAATACACCAAGAAAGCTGAAAGAATCCGCAGACCCTTTGAAGGAAATGGATTCCTCTTTCAGGACCCGGGAGACCAGTCCAAAAACTGAGTGCCCAAACTGTGAAAGTGGCAAAGGGGGATCATCTGCCTCAGAACACACACCCTCACTGGGGAACCTGAAGGTCCAAATTGCTGGAGAAGATTCTGACCTTACCTGGAACTGAGTCAATTTAGAGAGTCAGGCAAAATACATGGTTAGAGAAAACAGTGGGAAAAGTTCTGTGGGCTCTCTTGTTCCCCAGGAAAGCCATTTCTGCCTTGTCTCACAGGGGTCCTTGGGAAGGACTGCCAGAAAACTTGGAAAAGACCACAGGGAGAAGGAACCCTGCAGTTGAACTGTAACAATTCCAGCTGAATATGAAGTTTCCTAGCCAGAACTTGGGAGAGGGTGTGATCTGGTTTGCAGACTCGACAGGCAGGGGGAAGTGTGAGAGTCCTGCTGCTTTCTCAGCCATCGGGCTGGTAGTCTGGGGCAAGTTCTCACCCCTGCTCATCCACTGCCTGGAAACAAACTTGGTGCTGTTTGGGAGTGGGGCACAGTGGGAGTGAGACTGGCCTTTTGGGTCGTATGGGACCTGGGTGAGGCCTGTAACTGCCGGCTTTCCCCCACTTTCCTAATAGCCTGTATGACATAGCAGAGGCAGCCAAAATCCTCCTGGAAACATAACTCCATTGACCTGAAATGACACTCCCATCCCCTACAGAAGCAGCAGCAAATCCTGCCCAAGGAGAGTCTGAGCTCAGACACGTCTAAGCTTGCCACCACCTGATGGCCCTTCCCTACCCACCCTGGTAGCTGAAGAAAAGGTTATATTCTCTTGGGAGTTCCAGGGTCCCTCCAACTGCCTGATCCTCCCTATACTACCACAGCTGATACTCTCTTGAAAAGATCACCTCCTGGCAGGAGGCCAACCAGCACAAAAATAGTGCAATAAACAATAATAATACAACTAAGGACTTTCAAAGAGTCCATTTCACTCCCTGCCACCTCCAACAGAGCAGGTACTGGTATCCGTGCCTGGGAGACCTGAAGGTGGTTTACATCAAGGACTCTGTACAGACGCCCCCCATTGCCAGCCCGTAGCCTGGTAGCCCTGCTGGGTGGCTACATCCAGAAGAGAAATAACAATCACTACAGTTTGGCTCTCAGGAAGCCCCATCCCTAGAAAAAGGGGGAGAGTACTACATCAAGGGAGCACCCCGTGGGACAAAAGAATCTGAACAGTAGCCTTGAGTGCCAGATCCTCCCTCTGACATAACCTACCCAGATAAGAAGGAACCAGAAAAACAATTCTGATAATATGACAAAACAAGGTTCTTTAGTAGCCCACCAAAATCACACTAGCTCACCATCAATGGATCCAAAACAAGAAGAAATCCCTGAATTGCCAGAAAAAGAATTCAGAAGGTCAATTATTATGCTAATCAAGGAGGCAACAGAGAAAGGTGAAGTCAAACTTAAGGAAATAAAAAAAGATGTAAGACATGAGAAGAGAAATCTTCAGTGAAATAAATAGCATAAATTAAAAAAAAAATCACAACTTCAGGAAATAAAGGACACACTTTGAGAAATGTGACGCAAAATCACCAGGTAACCTATAAAGGAAAACCTTTCAGATTAACAGCAGATACCCTACAAGCTAAAAGGGATTGGGGCCCTATCTTCACCCTCCTTAAACAAAACAATTAGCCAAGAATTTTGTATCCAATGAAACTAAGCTTCATAAATGAAGGAAAGACACAGTCTCTTTTCAGACAAAGAAATTGCTGAGAGAATTTGCCATTACCAAGCCAGCACTACAAGAACTGCTAAAAGGAGCTCTAAATCTTGGAACAAATTCTGGAAACATGTCAAAACAGAACCACTTTAAAGCATATATCTCACAGGACCTACGTATTCATCTGTTCTCATGCTGCTAATACAGACATACTCAAGACTGGATAATTTATAAAGGAAAGAGGTTTAATTAACTCAGTTCCACATGGCTGGGGAGGCCTCACAATCATGGTGGAAGGCAAGGAGGAGCAAAGTCACATGTTACATGGCTGCAGGCAAGAGAGAGTTTGTGCTTTGGAACTTCCCTTTATAAAACCATCAGATCTCATGAGACTCATTCACTACCATGAGAACAGTATGGGGAAAACCGTCCCCACGATTCAGTTATCTCCACCTGGCCCTGCCCTTGATGTGTGGGGATTATTACAATTCAAGGTGAGAGTTGGGTGGGGACACAGCCAGACCATATCATTCCATCCCTGACCGCTCCCAAATCTCATGTCCTCATATTTCAAAACCAATCACGCCTTCCCAACAGTCCCCCAAAGTCTTATTTCAGCATTTACTCCAAAGTCCACAGTCTAAAGTCTCATCTGAGACAAGGCAAGTCCCTTCTGCCTCTGAGCCTGTAAAATCAAAAGCAAGTCATTTACTTCCTAGATAAAATGAGGGTATGAGCATTGGGTAAATAAACCTATTCTAAATGGGAGAAATTGGCCAAAATGAAAGAGCTACAGGCCCCATGCAAGTCCAAAGTCCAATGGGGCAGTCAAATCTTAAAGCTCCAAAATGATCTCCTTTGACTCCATATCTCACATCCAGGTCACACTGATGCAAGAGGTGGGCTCCGATGGCCTTGGGAAGCTCCAACCCTGTGACTTTGCAGGATATAGCCTCCCTTCTGGCTGCTTTCATGGGCTAGTGTTGAGCATCTGCAGCTTTTCCAGGCACACAGTGCAAGCTGTTGCTGGATCTACCTTTCTGGCATCTGGAGGATGGTGGCCCTCCTCTCACAGCTCCAAGAGGCAGTGCCCCCATGGAGACTCTGTGTGGGGTCTCTGACCCCACATTTCCTTTCTGCACTGCCCTAGCAGAGGTTCTTCATAACAGCCCGCCCATGCAGCCAATTTCTGCCTGGACTTCCAGGCGTTTCCATACATCCTCTGAAATCTAGGCTGAGGTTCCCAAACATTAATTCTTGACTTCTGTGCACCCACAGGACCAACACATGTGGAAGCTGCCAAGACTTGGGGCTTTCACCCTCTGAAGCAATGACCTGAGCTGTATGTTGGCCCCTTTTAGTCACAGCTGGAGCTAAAGCAACTGGGACACAGGGCACCACGTCCCAAGGCTGCATAGAGCAGGAGAGCCCTGTTGTCTGGCCCACAAAACCATTCTCCCCCACTAAGCCTCCATGTCTGTGATAGGAGGGGCTTCTGTGAAGGTCTGTAACATGCCCTGGAGACATTTTCTCTGTTGTTTTGGGGATTAACATTCAACTACTCATTACTTATGTAAACTTCTGCAGCCAGATTGAATTTCTCTCCAGAAAAATGGGTTTTTCTTTTCTATCGCATTGTCAGGCACAAATTTTCCAAACTTTTGTGCTCTGCTTCCTCTTGAACACTTTGCTGCTTAGAAAGTTCTTCTACCAGATACCCTAAATCATCTCTCTCAAGTTCAAAGTTCCACAAATTTCTAGGGCAGGGGCAAAATGCCAGTCTCTTTGCATAGCAAGAGTGACCTTTACTCCAGTTCCCAACAAGTTTCTCATCTCCATCTGAGACCACCTCAGGCTGGACCTTATTGTCCATATCACCATCAGCATTTTGGTCAAAGCCATTCAACAAGTCTCTAAGAAGCTCCAAACTTTCCCACATATTTCTGTCTTCTTTGGAGCCCTCTAAGTCTCTAGGAATTTCCAGACTTCCCCACATTTTCCTGTCTTCTTCTGAGCCCTCCAAACTTCCAGTCTCTGCCTGTTATCCAATTCCAAAGTCGCTTCCACGTTTTTGGGTATCTTTATATCTGCACCCCACTCCTAGTACCAATTTACTGTATTAGTCTATTCTCATGCTGCTAATAAAGACATACCCAAGACTAGGTAATTTATAAAGGAAAGAGGTTTAATTGACTCACAGTTCCACATGGCTGGGGAGGCCTCACAATCATGGTGGAAGCCAAAGAGGAGCAAAGTCATGTCTTACATGGCAGCAGGCAAGAGAAATCTTGTGCCAGGGAACTGCTGTTTATAAAAACATCAGAACTCATGAGAGTTATTCACTACCATGAGAACAGTATGGGGGAAGCTATCCCCATGATTCAATTATCTCCACCTGGCCCTGCCCTTGTCATGTGGAGATTATTACAATTCAAGGTAAGATTTGGGTGGTGACACAGAAAACCATATCAACCTATAAAACAAAAATACAATAAATTTAAAAAACAAGGTATTCAGGCAGCAAATAGCACAATGAATTGAATAGTACACATCTCAATACAATGTTGAATGTAAGTGGCCTAAATGCTCCATGTAAAGCATGCAGAATTGAATAATGGATAAGAATTCATCAGTCAAATATCTGCTGCCTTTAAGAGACTCATCTAACACATAAGGACTCACATGAACTGAAGGTAAAGGGGTGAAAAAAGATGTTCCATGCTAATGGACACCAAAAGCGAGCAGGATCAGTCATTCTTATATCAGACAAAATAAACTTTAGAGCAACAGCAGTTAAAAAAGACAAAAGGGACATTGTATAATGATAAAAGGCCTTGTCCAACAGGAAAATATCATGATTCTAAATATATACACACCTAACACTAGAACTTCCAAATTTATAAAACAATTACTACTAGATCTAAGAAATGAGATAGAGAGCAACACAACATAGTGGAGGACTTCAATACTCCACTGATAGCAGTAGACAGGTGATTAAGACAGAAAGTCAGCAAAGAAACAATGGATTTAAACTATACCCTAGAACAAATGGACTTAACCGATATTTAAAGAACATTCTACCCAACAACCACAGAATATACATTCTATTCATCAGTGCATGGAACTTTCTATAAGATAGACCATATGATATGCCACAAAACAAATCTCAATAAATTTAAGAAATTTGAAATCATATCAAGTATTCTCTCAGACCACAGTAGAATAAAATTGGAAATCAACTCCAAAAGGAACCTTCAAAACCATGCAAATACATGGAAATTAAATAACCTGCTCCTGAATAATTGGGTCAACAATGAAATCAAGATGGAAATTAAAAAATTCTTTGAACTGAATGACAATAGGGACACAATCTATAAAAACCTCTGGGATACTGCAAAGGCAGTGCTAAGAGGAAAGTTTATTGTCATAAATGCCTACATTGAAAAGTCTGAAAGAGCACAAATAGACAATCTAAGGTCTCACCTCAAGGAACTAGAGAAACAAGAACAAACCAAACCCAAACCCAGTAAAAGAAAAGAAATAACCAAGATTAGAGCAGGACTAAATGAAGTTGAAACAAAAAAACACAAAAGAGAAATTGAAAAAAGCTGGTACTTTGAAAAGATAAATGAAATTGATAAACCATTAGCAAGATTAACCAAGAAAAGAAAAGAGAAGATTCGAATGAGCTCAGTTAGAAATGAAATGGGAGATACTACAACCTACACTGCAGAAATACAAAAGATTATTCCAGGCTACTATGAACATCTTTATGCACATAAACCAGAAAACCTAGAGGAGACGGATAAATTTCTGGAAATATACAACCCTCCTAGCTTAAATCAGGAAGAATTAGAAACCCTGAATAGACCAATAACAACCTGCAAGATTGAAATGGTAATAAAAAAGTTACCAAGAAAAAACCCTCTAGGACCAGATGGATTCACAGCTGAATTCTATCAGACATTCAAAGAAGAATTGGTACCAATCCTACTGACATTATTCTACAAGATAGAGAAAGAAGGAATTCTCACTAAATCATTCTATGAAACCAGTATCACCCTAATACCAAAACCAGGAAAGGACATAACAAAAAAAGAAAACTACAGACCAATATCTCTGATGAACATAGATGCAAATATCCTTAACAAAATACTAGCTAAAAAAATCTAATAGCATATCAAAAAGATAATACACCAGATCAAGCAAGTTTCATACCAGGGATGCAGGGATGGTTTAACATATGCAAGTCAAGAAATGTGATGCACCACATAAACAGAATTTTAAAAAAATTCACATAATCATCTCAATAGATGCAGAAAAAGCATTTAACAAAATCCAGCATTACTTTACGATTAAAACCCTCAGCAAAATCAGCATACAAAGGACATACCTCAAGGTAATAAAAGCCATCTATGACAAACCCATAACCAACATAATACTGAATGGGGAAAAGTTGAAAGCATTCCCTGTGAGAACTGGAACAAGACAAGGATGTCCACTCTTGCCATTCCTCTTCAATATAGTACTGGAAGTCCTAGCCAGAGCAATCAGATGAGAAATAAATAAAGGGCATCCAAATCAGTAAAGAGGAAGTCAAATTGTCACTTTTGCTGATGATATGATAGTTTACCTCAAAAACTTTAAAGATTATTCCAGAGAGTTCCTAGAACTAATAAAAGAATTCAGCAAAGTTTCTGGATACAAGATTAATGTATGAAAATTGGTAGCTCTTCTTTACACCAACAGTGACCAAGCTGAGAATAAAATCAACTACTCAACCCCTTTTACAATAGCTGCAAAAAAATACTTAGGAATATACCTGACCAAGGGGGTAAAAGACCTCTACAAGGAAAACTACAAAACACTGCTGAAAGAAATCATAGATGACACAAAAAATGGAAACACCTCCCATGCTCATGGATGGGTAGAATCAATAGTGTGAAAATAATCACACTGCCAAAAGCAATCTACAAATTCAGTGCAATTCCCATCCCATCAAAGTACCACCATCATTCTTCACAGAACTAGAAAAAACAATCCTAAAATTCATATGGACCCCAAAAAGAGCCTGCATAGCCAAAGCAAGACTAAGCAAAAAGAACAAATCTAGAGGCATCACGTTACCTGATTTCAAACTATACTATAAGGCCATAGTCACCAAAACAGCATGCCACTGGCATAAAAAATAGGCACCTAGACCAATGGACCAGAATGGAGAACCCAGAAATAAAACCCAAGTGCTTACAGCCAACTGATCTTCGACAAAGCAAACAAAAGCATAAAGTGGGGAAAGGAAACCCTATTCAACAAATGGTGCTAGGATAATTGGCAAGCCACCTGTACGAGAATGAACTGGATCCTCATCTCTCACCTTATACAAAAATCAACTCAAGATGGATGAAGGACTTAAATTTAAGACCTGAAACTATAAAAATTCTAGAAGATAACACTGAAAAAGCCCTTCTAGACATTGACTTAGGCGAGGACTTCATGACCAAGAACCCAAAAGCAAATGCAACAAAAACAAAGATAAATAAGTGGGACTTAATTAAACTAAAGAGCTTCTGCACAGTAAAAAGGAACAGTTAGCAGAGTAAACAGACAATCCACAGAGTGGGAGAAAATCTTCACAATCTATACATCTGACATAGGACTAATATCCAGAATCTACAAGGAACTCAAACAAATTAACCAGAAAACGAACAAGCAAATGATTGCATCTAAAAGTGCACTAATAACATGAATAGACAATTCTCAAACGAAGATAAACAAATGGCCAACAAACATATGAAAAAATGCTCAACATCACTCATTACAAGGAAAATGCAAATCAAAACCACTATGTGATACCACCTTAGTCCTGCAAGAATGACCATAATCAAAATATAAAAAAAAATAGATGTTGGTGTGGATAGGGTGAAAAGGGAACACTTCTACACGCTGGTGGGAATGTAAACTAGTACAACCTTCGTGAGAAACAGTTTGGAGATTCCTTAAAGGACTAAAAGTAGAAATACCATTTGTTCCAGCGATCCCACTACTGGGTATCTACCTACAGGAAAAGAAGTCAATATACAAAAAGGATACTTGCACACACATGTTTATAGCAGCACAATTTGCAATTGCAAAAATATGGAACCAGCCAAATGCTCATCAGTTAATGAGTGGATAAAGAAATTTTGGTACATATATATGATGGTATACTATTCAGCCATAAAGAGGAATAAATTAATGGCATTCGCAGCAACCTGGTTGGAACTGGAGACTATTATTCTAAGTGAAGTAACTCAGGAATGAAAAACCAAAAATCATATGTTCTCACTCCTAAGTGGGAGTTAAGCTATGAGGATGCAAAGGCATAAGAATGATACAATGGATTTTGGGGACTCAGGGGAAAGGGTGGGAGGGGGGTGAGGGATAAAAACTGCAAATTGGGTTCAGTGTATACTGCTTGGGTGCTGGGTGCACCAAAATCTCACAAATCACCACAAAAGAACTTACTTATGTAACCAAATACCTCCTGTTTCCCCAAAACCTATGGAAATACAAAATTTTTAAAAAGGAGTTAAGGGCAACATAAAAAAGATATCTTATTAGAAGTTTTATTTGGAGCCACCTTTTCAAAGTAGAGGTATACATCAGCAATTATATATTTTTAATTTTTTGTGTTTGGGAGTGCCCTAATTTTCATGTACTTGTTTGTTGGCTGGCAAGTACCACCACATTATTGTAACTGGAATGAAGTGATATTGATTATGTGCCTGGCAGGCTGTCCAGGGGATTTCAAAATGGAATGTACTATGTTTCAATAATCACAGTCTAGGGTCTTTTGACTTGATTTTTTAGGATCAGAAATTTGCTTTTCTTGGAAACTGAGAGTAGATCCATTTCTCAGGAGCAGAGTTATGGTAATCAAGCGCATAGAAACAAATCATCTATGAACAATGAGAAATGTGACTGTTAAATGGACTGACCTATTCATGTTAGCATGACTAACACATTATCTCGTTTTAGGCAGAGCTATGTGGGAAACTAAATTATAATCAGAAGACAATTTGATGGGGATAGAATTATCACAAGTAATTGTGTGATAAACAAGAAAACAGAATGCATAAGTCAATGGTTCAGGGCACCCTCTCTCTATGTTGTACTTGCTCAAAAACTAACTTCTGGTGTTATCTGTGCTCCAAAGTTGACCACCTATAAACAACCTGTTTTCTCATTCTTTCTTAGGCTACTGAGTAATTGTTTATGTTTCAAATTGACTCAGTTGGCATTGTATGCCTCCCTTAATTGGTGTTTTTGTGTATCTAATCTTTGCAGTCATATCACAGACATTACCTTGATTCACCCTTGCACTTAGATAAACCCTTCTGCTCTGTGTGACTGTGTAGATTTAAAGCTTTGAATTTATTTAAATATTTAATATCTTAATTGTTTATTTTTTAGATCATGACCTAAGTTTTAGATGGGTAGACATTTCACTATTGCTTTCATGTACTATCATAAGACATCACATCCCAGAGTGCCTCCAGATACTTCAGGTTCTTAAGAGGTTTTTGGAATTTGGGTAGGGCATGTGAAAAAATCCAAGGAGATTGAGAAGTGTCAAAAACATTTGTTTGGCAGTTTCACTGAAGCAAGTTTCAATGTTACAGTGCAATCAAATTTGGCTTAAGAGTGAGATGGATACAACGAGCCTTTGTTGAATATCTGTGTTTCCTCCATTATAGTTATTCTGAAAGACTTATGAGTCTCTGTAGCTTCTTTTTGTTTCACTTTTTTCTTGTATCAATAATGGAGAATTCTCAATTCATGCAAATGAATATTACTATACAGATAAGTGTAGCTGACATTCACTAAGTGCTAATTTTATTATTCATATTTAGCATGTGCATAAATTAAGTTGTGTCGTTCAAGTTTCTTTATACAATTGTTATAAAATGAATAGTTTCTAAGCTAAAGTCATTCTCTTACTAACTTTGTTTTTATACTTCTTTATAAATATACCTATGAAGATTATTTCCTTTTCCTATTTTTTAGAAAGGGAGAATTATAAGTAGAAAGTTAACAATGGGAAGGATATGAGTTCATTTGCATGAAATTATTATTCAAGAGAAAATTATTATACAAGTATTATAAAGTTGAGATTGTATGCTGTACATAATAATTATGTTATTATACTTTAAATATTCTGTTATTGGTCATAATTGTCAACTTTGAAGAATAAACTTTGAGGAAAAATAAATTGAGGTGAGTGTATTGAGAGTAGACCAGTGAGAAATCTTAGTGGAGAAGCAGTGGTATGGTGGAGACTGGCCAGCTGTTCAAACCAATTCCTCTCCTTAGTCATAGAGTTAACCTGTACTTTCCAGCCTCCCTTGCACTCAGTTGCAGCCATGTACTGGAGATTTATCCATTGCAATGTGAGCAGAAGTGACAGGTTCCATTTCCAGGTTTGGCTTATAGAACTCTGAAGCAACCTTTGAACCTTTTTCTTCTTTCACCAGCTTGGCACAGCTGGGCCCAGTGGCCTTGGAAGGCACATATTGGAAATATGGAGTCACAGAAAAAAAGACCCTTACTCTCTGAATTGCTACTTAGATGAGGGTCTTTTGGTGTTCAGAAAAAAAGTTGGACTTTAGACAAACGAAATAAATTTCTATTGTGTTTGAGGCATCATATATTTTTGGGTTTGTTACTGCAGCTAGTATTACCCTAACTAATACAAACAATTTATTGATAAGACCTTCTTAATTTTTAGTATGCTATTCCTAATCCATCAAAACTGTACATGGCCTTAAAAATACCATTATGGCTTTAAAATTTATTCTTGAAGGGCTTTATTTTACTGACACACAATTATTGTTATTAAAGATCTATTATTGGTAGGCAACAATAAAAATCAGGAAATCCTTGAGTTTACATATAAGGGGACTTTAAAATTTGGTAGAAACAGAAGTCATAGATCTTTATTTGTATTGTACACACTTATTTCTAAAAAAAGCAAACACCATGAGAAACATGATGGTACTATGTTTGGATTATATATGTTTAATTTATATTCAATGTGATGTATGAGATTTCTCTTCCTCTAGCCCTCCATCCCCCACTCCATCCTTTAATTCTTTCTATCTATAAGTGTGCCAGGCAAGCACAGGATGGCTGAGATACAGCCATTTTGAGATAAACACATTTTCTCCCTACAAAGTCTGAGTTTATCAGTAAACCTCATAATAATATATATTCATATTAATTATTATTAATAATCAGTTTATCATTAAACCCCATAACTCACTACATCTGACATATGCCACACAGGAGAACTACATCATATTAAGTGAGCATATAATAAGAAATTTCACTTGAAAATGCGGTGAGAGGGAATTAGGGAAGTCTCCTATGAGAGAGTAACACTGAAGTGAACAACTAAAGAATGAGTATGAGCTGTGAAAGCACATAAGTGAGGGAGAGGGACATAGGACTCTCAAGGGATTAGAAAGGCAGAATGATTGGAGAATGGCAATCATGCATTGGCAAGGTATAAGGAGAGGCTGCAGAAAGAAACAGGTATTGGATCAGGCCGGGACATTTTTAGATATGTTAAGGACTTGGACTTTATCTTAACAACAACAGGATACTGTGTGTGTTTTAAGAAGAATGGCATGGCCAGATTTGTATTCTAAACTTCACCTCACTCTGTCTCCAGTGAGATGAAGTTTAGAGAGAGGGGAAAATAGGGACTTGTGGAGTCTCTTTCAGAAGTGATGGCGATAGTCCAGGTGAGAGACAATGGTGACTTGAACTAGGGTGCTGGCAGTGTACATGGAGACCTGAGGACCAATTTGAAAGATGTTTAGGAGGAAGAATTCACAACAGTTGGTGATTAATTGGATTTGAGTGTGAGAAAGGAGTCAAGAATAATTTTCTGGTTTCTGACTTGGGTCATCAGGTAGATGACATGACATTTTATGAAAATAGGGAACACTGACCGAAAACCAGGAAGAAAGATGTGAATTTATTTTTGGACATGCTGAATTTGGACCTGTGAAATAGCCAGGTGGCTTGTTTAAGTATTTATGTGGTTACCTAATGTGTATTCATTAGGTAAAAATATAATTAGGCAATTGGATTAAGGGTCTGAGTCTCAGTAGATAGGTCTGGACTAGAGATAATGTTAGAAAGTAATGATTCCTTAAAAATAATTTAATCTAACTCCATTATTTTCTAGATGATAGAAATTATTCCCAAGGAACATGCATTTGTATCGTGCTTCATTGTTTGCACCACACTTTATATGGTTTCATTTATTTTCTACAGTTCATCATATAAGGAATTGTTATCTCCATATTTATAATTGAGATGACTAAGACTTGAGGTCCACATTTTTGAGGCTTCCCCCTCTCTTGAAGATAATGAGCCCTTCTGCAAAAGATTAAAGTGACTTACCGGCCGGGCATGGTGGCTCACACCTGTAATCCCAGCTCTCAGGGAGGCAAGAGGCGGGAGGATAGCTTGAGCCCAGGAGTTTGACACCTGCCTGGGCAATATAGTGAGACCCCGTTCTCCACAAAAAGGAAAAAAAAGACAAAAAAAAAAAAAAAGCGTAAAGTGACTTATCCTTTTAGTGACAGATAAAGACACTGCAAGAACAGGGACAAAGAATTGTTTGATCCTGAAGAGTCATTTCCTTTGTGGCCTGCTTGTCATGAAGACTGAATAAAATTCCTGAGTAAAACAAAGACAAAATGATGAGACTTGTTAACCTGCTTTTGAAACAAAGTAACCTCACCCCCAATTCGTGGGACATGCCTCACAGGGAGTCTAGCCCTCATAGCTACTTTTCCATTGATAACTAGAGTAAGGGCTGAAGAGAAGTACAGAAGATTCCTCCTCCAAGAGAATGGCATTATCTTCTCTGTGGTCCAAGATGAAGACATAATGGGAGAGAAGAATTTTGTCTATATAACAATAACTCTAAGTTATAGAATTAAAGGCTTAAAAAATGGAGTAATGAATGGTATGTCTTTATTTTTTAAAAAATGAATTAATTTTTTTAAGACAGAGTCTTGCTCTGTCGCCCAGCCTGGAGTGCAGTGGTGCAATCTTGGCTCACGGCAACCTCCACCTCGAGGGTTCATGAATGGTATGTCTTAGATATAAACATTAGAGGGAAAGAAATAACTCTTTAAAAAAATTATTATGTGGGTTCTTTCTTTCTGAATACCTTGAAAACTAGGAAAATCATCCTGCTGCATGAAAGCAAGAAAATGAGTTAGGGAATCCCTTGAAAATTGTTTCTGCCCAGTGATGCTAAGACTGCACAATGTTTTTTTGAGATTCACAAATGTAAACACTGTATTTGCTTACTTAAGCTTATTATCTTAAGCTATTTTAAGTGGCTTTCCATGCAAAAAAAAATTTTTGTACTGTCTGAATAATCTGGCATTTCTAAAATATTTTTAAATTTTCTTTGAACTTTAGCAACCCTATTTCACTATTTAAAACTAAAACTCATGAACTTATCCAGTCAAGAATCACTGGCCTGGCTGGATGTGGTGGCTCATGCCTGTAATCCCAGCACTTTGGGAGGCTGAGGCAGGCAGATCACTTGAGGCCAGGAGTCTGAGACAAGCCTGGCCAACATGGTGAAACCCTGTCTCTACCAAAAATACAACAATTATCCGGGTGTGGTGGCACATGCCTGTAATTCCAGCTACTCAGGAGGCTGAGGCAGGAGAATCACTTCAACTCAGGAGGTGGAGTTTGCAGTGAGCTGGGATCGCACCACTGCACTCCAGCCTGTGCGGTAGAGTGAGGCTCCATCTCAAAAAAAAAAAAAAGTATCATTGACCTAAGAGTGTAAACTAGGATCCATTTTGCATAATACTAGCACTGAGATTTGCAGTCTTAAAGAATCATACTGTTTTCCATAGAGGTTGTACTAATTTACATTTCTACCAACAGTGTATAAGTGTTCCCTTTTCACCACATCTGTGCCATCTATTGTTTTTTGACATTTTAATAATGGCTGTTTTCCAACTCCATTAAAAATAGGCAAAGGATATGAACACTATTCAAAAGAAGACATACATGTGGCCATTCATTTAAAAAAAAGCTTAGTATCACTGATCATTAGAAAAATGTAAATAAAAACCACAGTGAGATAACATCTCATGCCAGTTAGAATGGCTATTATTAAAAAGTCAAAAAATAATAGATGCTGGTGAAGTTGCAGAGAGAAAGGAATGCTTATCCACTGTTGGTGGAAGTGTAAATTAGTTCAACCATTGTGGAAGACAGTGTGGCAATTCCTCAGAGACCTAAAAACAGAAATACCATTTGACCACCCAGCAATCCCTTACTGGGCATATACCTCAAGGGATATAAATCCTTCTATTATGAAGACACTTGCATGTGTATGTTCTTTGCAGCACTATTCACAATAGCAAAGACATGGAATTGACCTAAATGCCCATCAGTGATAAACTGAATAAAGAAAGTATGGTACATATACACCATGAAATACTATGTCACCATAAAAAAGAGTGAGAACATGTCCTTTGCAGGAAAATGGATGGAGCTGTAGGCCGTTATCGTCAGCAAACTAACACAGGAACAGAAAAGCAAATACTGCATATTTTCACTTATAAGTGGGAGCTAAATGATGAGAACACCTGGGCACATAGAGGGGAACAACACACACTGGGGCCTATCAAATGGTGGAGGTTGGGAGGAGGAAGAGGATCAGAAATGGGTACTAGGCTTAATACCTGGGTGATGAGATAGTCTGCACAACAACTCCGCAGACACAAGTTCACCTATATAACAAACCTGCACATGTATCCCTGAAGTCAAAATAAAAGTAAAAAAAAAATGGCCATTTCGCTGGGGTAAGGTGGTATCTCATTGTGACCTTAATATGCATTTTCCTGATGATTAGTGATATTAAGCATTTTTTTTCATATCTTTGATGGCCATTTGTATAGTTTCTTTTGAAAAATATCTCTTCATGTCGTTTGCCCACTTTTTAATGGGGTTATTCATTTTTTTATTGCTGATTTGTTTGAATTCCTTGTAGACTCTGAGTATTAGTCCTTTATTGTATATAGAGTTTGTGACTATTTTCTCCCATTCTATAGGGTTGTCGATGTACTCTATTGATTATTTCTTTTGTGCAGAAGTTTTTTAGTTTAATTAAATCCCATTTATTTATTTTTGTTTTTGTTGCAATTGCTTTTGGGGTCTTCCAGCAATCATACTACTGGGTATCTAACCAAAGAAAAAGAAGTAATTATATCAAAAATATACCTGCGCTCATACATTTATCACAGCACAATTCATAATTGTAAATATATGGAATCAACCTAGGTGCCCATCAACTGATGAGTGGATAAATAAAATGTGGTATATAAATATTATGATATACTACTCAGTCATAAAAAATAATGAAAGAATGTCTTTCACAGCAACTGGAATGGAACTGGAGGCCATTATCCCAAGTGAAACAACTTAGGAACAAAAAAAGAAATACTGCTGTTCTCACTTATAAGTGGGAGCTAAGCTATGAGTAGTACACAGGGAAATACAGTATAATAGACATTGGAAACTCAGACAGGGAGAGAGAGGGAGGAGGATGAAGGATGGAAAATTACCTATTGGGTACAAGGTACACTATTCAGGTGGTGATGGGTACACTAAAAGCTCAGACTTCACCACTGTATAATACATCCATTCAACCAAAAGTCATTTGTACCCCTAAAGCTATTGAAATAAAAATAAGTAAATAGATAAATAGACAAATAAATAAATGAAGTATCTGGGAATAAAAAGAACCATATGTGGGTTCTGTCACATTGAAGAGTCTCCCTCAGAAACAAATTGACATGTCTTGAAAAAGAAACAGATTAAGGACATCTTTAAAAAGCTCATACCATTCGGCAAGTACTAGTTTGTTTGAAGAGGCAGCAATGAGCTTCTGAAATTCACTCATACTTAATATGACGATGGTGTCATCAGAGAGATATTTGTACAAGATCTTGCTGAGAGAGAGTCTTTACTGGAGGCTACTAGAGTCTCCTCCAGCCTGATTATATGTGTTAAATCTAATTGTGATTTAACGCTTCTAATGTTAGCCACAAGCGAATGACCATGACATTTCAGCAAGTTCTTACATCTTTTGAATTATCAAGGGATATTTGAAATACAATTTCTCTTGCCACTTTTCTTTTTAGGAGAAAGACAATACATCCTATAGCAATGAGCCCCAGATAAGTTTCATCACTGTTAGGTTCATTGCATGTTTCTCTACTGTTTTTTCATCCTAATTTTACTAGAAAGCATGGTCCTTAAATAGTAAAACTGTCATTATATTACATGTAGGTTTAAGACAACCATCACAATTAACTTGGTTCTATTCGATTTCAAGCACTTAATGACTGCATAATGAAAGGCAGAAGACATTTTAGAAAAAATTAAAAACACACCACAAACAGATATTGTAAAATTTTGTTTTTGTTTTTTTAAATTGACACATAAAATTGTAGGTATTTATCATATACATGAAGTTTTGAAGTATATATATGTTGTGGAATTAATAAATCTGTCTAATTTTTTGTGATACTAAAATTTTTAAGACTATGGAATGATTCTCTTAAGAAATACATGTGCTAAGATACTGAATTTGGAAAAAAATTATTACTGGATTTTGCAGGTTGTTAAAACTATTAAAAGTACAACTAATCAGTTTTGGGTCTGAAGTATCTCTATAATTGTTATGATGCCATAAAAAGAACAGCCTCTCTAACAAAAAGTCTTTGGTAAAAATTATCTTAGAATTAAGAAAGTGAATAGAAGCATTAAGTTTTTAGTGTAGAATCTAAAGCTTTGATAGGCAAAATTATTAGTAGAGGAGCTTATACAAGGTAGAGATTTGGACTTAATCTCCTTCCTCCTCCCAGAGTTTTAGATTCTCTAGGCCTAGGCTGGGACCTGGGTCCCTGCCTTTTTAAAAGTGAAGCATTCCCAGATAATTATGATGCAGGTGGTCATGGGACAGCTCTATTATGTATTAAAAGTTAATTTCCTGGCAATTTGGATAAATCTTATTATCATAATATTGACCAAAAGAATCCAGACCCCAAAGAGTATATAGCATATAATGCCTTTCTAAGTTAAAAAAAATGAACAGAGTTGATCTGCATTCTGTCAAAAGTCAGAGATTACCATTGGTAAGGAACTGTGATTATAAAGGTCACAGAAAAAGGATATGGTTTAGCTTTGTCAAGGGATTTTATAATACAAACATCTTAAACGTTAGGATTTTATCATTTCATTTGTCTCAAAGAACCTCTTTTACAATTGAAATTTAAAATTAAAACAATGAAATAAGGTTAAACCAAAGAATTTAGCAATTATCACAGATTTGAGAAATCATTTTATAATCCAGATCAATAAATTACAGCACATAATTGAGAACTTGCAATAAAACTTGACACTAACAAAACAATTCTCGTATTTGAAGTTCACATAAAAAATACTTTTTTATTTGTAGATATAAAGTCTGACTTGACAAAGAAGAAAATTAATACATTTTAGCTCTCTCTATAAGGGAGCTTTCAGGGGCTGTAGAACAGTTGTAGAACACTTTTTGGAGGCTTTGGAAAAACTCAATTTTTAAAACTTTCTTAAATCTGCATATAATTCAATAATTTTGTTGATTTTATATTCTCTTTCCTGAGTTCTAATGAGGAAAAATGAACTGCTCAAGATTTTGGGATCTCTGATTGGTCTACATGTACAGAACTAAGAGAGTTTTAAAGAATGTATCATTTGCCCAATCTGGATGGAGTCATCCATTTACATACTGGTATAATAATCAGGATTTAGGAGTTTTCATCTTTAAATGCATTTAGGGGACTGACAAATAACTTAATTGAGCCACAAAGATAGGTTTAAGAAAATAGAGTGACAAGTATCTGTCATCCTGAAATGCACATACTCTATTTAAATTTATTTTAAGGCATCATGAAAGCCAAATATAATGTAGATTGGGCTAATGATGTTCTATTTGTTTTTTTAAATAGGCCGATGTGGTATTTTTCACTGGGTGCTATTGACATTGGGTGGGCAATTCTTTCTTGTAAAGGACTGTCCTGCACATTGCCAAATAATTTTCATTTTTCCTCACTCCCAACCCTCACTGACGCCCCAGTCACTAGTTGTGTATAGCACATTCCCTCTACATTTTAGGATGCCTTCTAGGGAGACAGTTCCACCCTGATTTATGGGGTCAATATTAGGATTAGGGAATAGCATTATTTTTTAGTAATGTGTGTTGTTTCACCTGAACTGAACTCAAAATGTTGAATGATAATTGACTTTTGCTTCTGCTATTGAGGTCTGTGACACCTTGGTGACACTTCGGCTCATCTTTCAATATGGAGACTACTTCTAAAATGGACAAAGTTCTTTAGAAGTTAAAGTTTATTACTCTAGCCAAATATTAATTAGGTTTATATATTTCTTATGTATATGAAAATGGTTCAACAATTTCATTAAATGTTGATGGGTTTTCCACTCAATTAGGCACTCAAAAAACATATTGATTAATTTTTTAAAAAGCGCATGAATTAAAGAATTGCTGAAGGCACAGGAAGTGAACTAAGTCTGTGACCTTTCTGACACAGGCTTTACCTCGTCAATAAAGTTACACTTTATGATGCAATATAAATAATAGATAACAATGGGTGATGAACCCAGAGGGAGAAAATGGCAGGAGGTGAAGCATTCTAAGCTTGGCTGTGCATTATCTTCAACACATTTGTTGCATTGTGGTTTCATGAGGACTAGACTTCCAGAGTGTTGCTTGCTAATGGATACTAACTAGAAGGTGAGAAATCTCTCTGTCACTTGCTGTGGTCAGAGAGAGAAAAAATCATTGTGGAATGGTTAGACACTCATCCAATAGTCAACTGACTGCCTAATGCAGAATTTATCAGAAGGAGCTCAATCTTCCCCACTGGATAGAACTTGGTTTTTCGCATGCATTGACATTATTCCTAAGTCAAAAAGTAGGTGGCCGGAGGAGGTATCCAGGGGATGAGAAAAGAGTATGGACTTTGGATTCAGCAAAAACCTAGATTTAAATGCCAGTTTTGTAATATATTTACTTTGGGAAAGATAATATGTCCTAACCAGTTTTCTTATATATAAAATATGGACAATAATATCTCTCAATTATAGGCTTCTTATCCTATAAGAATGGATGGAGGTTATGTCTGCGGAATGCTCAGTTTCTTCCAGCCTTTCTTCTCTTCTTTGCCTTCTTTCCTCCCCTTTCCTTCCTTGCCCTTTGATTTCTTTTCCTCTTTTCTTCCAAATACTATGTGTTAAATGCGACTATAATGCATTGTTATATTTCCATACAAATAACAAAGATAATAATGAAACTAGCAATAATTTTTCACACTAGTCTATATATCTTTTAGCAATACTAAAATAAATGCACAGCAGTGTGGTTGATTTTGTAGTCACTCAGTGTGCTCAGTTCGCAGGTTTATCTACTAGATTGGCATCATTTCTGAGCATCAGTTTTTTCATGTCGTTGTATATGTTGTTATAATCAGTTTCTCTCTTGAAAAGCCTCTGTAGCAACCATAGCAGTGTGTGCAGGGAAATGTATAATAATTATTAAAAAATAGTAATTTAATTTAATAGATTGAATACAAAAAGAAGTAGAGAAGAAACAAAACTTCTTTTTTTGAGCCTGCTATTCAGATGTTCTGTAGGAAAAAATTCTATTGCTTGTGTTTTTGCAAGGGGTCCGTCAGCTATCTTACAATTCTAGTTCATGATATGTTATTACCTTTCTCTTTTTACCACTAGTTTTTGGAGTTTGGAGTTTAGCTTTGATTCCTTTAGATCATATTAAATCTTGTCAGGCCTATGTTGTACTTTCTAAGGTACAGGATTAGTGTCAAATTGCCAGAATATCTAAAAGGGAATGAAATTCCTGTAAAAGAAATTTTAAAGCTGCATATTTCTATAAAGCACATGATAAAAATATACAAGGATGTGCATATTTTATATACGTGTTTTATACTATATAATGAAAAATCAACTTATTCCCTATTAATAATATTATTTTACAAACTTATTAAGAACAAGCCAATGGTGTTGAAAAATTTGTGTCAGATGGAAAGTACATAGTAAAGGGACAAGATGCTAGTAAATTACTGATTTATGAATATCAGTGTGTATCATGAAGCCCTTGTCTTTCATAATGAAAATCTTACTGAAAATAAGAAAAAAAGCAGATAATTTAAATGTGTTTCATATCATAATAATGTTTAAATATTCTGGATGCTAAGTTTATTTCGTTTTAAATAGACATCATGTTTGACATGAAAAATATTAATCTATTTTTTATTCTATAAATGCAGATAGATATTTCACATGTTGAAGTTTGATATATATGTATTTTTTGCCTTAAATTGTACTATGCCCTCTGTCCCTGCTGCCTCCGTGTCTGTTCATTTAGGATTGGCAGGTATAGCATTATGCAGTACTACATTTTAACCTGGGTGCGTATATTAATAGTAGTACTTTCTGAAATTATATGCCTGCAGGACAAGACCCCAGTTGGCCTTGGTGACCCTGTTCTTCCCCACCTTTCTTGGTTTTAATTCTCAAGAAGAACTGTAGAATGTGCAAGGAATGTAACATCCGGAGATAAAGAGGAACTGAGCAGGCGGGGCTCTGTTCTTGTCCTTCCTAGAGTAGAATGTCCAGCAACACTTTTTACCCAGTGTGTTAAGTTGATCCCCAGTATAAAACCCAGAATGAAGTGCCTTTAGGGGGCACTTCAGCTGCAGTGTCACATGTGGCATGTGCAGATGAGACTCCATCAGCCCTGGGCAGCTTTCCTGAGCCTTAAAGGACCAGCTTGCCATGAATCCTAGACTTCTATTGTCCCTTGCAGCCTACCTGTGGGTAATAAAGTTGCTTTGCTTAATTTGTTGTGTGAGCTCTATCTCACCAGTCTCACGCAAGTGGACTGATACTAGTGCATGGCATTGGCAAGGTGTGCAGAGTCCTCCCCTGGGACTGATACTGGTGTACGGTGAGCCTGTTTCACACTGCCTTCTAAAAATAGAAAGGGGGTCGGGTGCAAGTGTCTCATGCCTATAAACACAGTGTTTTGGGAGGACAAGGCATCTGATTGCTTGAGCCCCAGGAGTTCAAGCAGACATGGGGGTGGGTGCCTGTTGTCTCAGCTACTTGGGACACTGAGGCAGGAGAATGGCTTGAGCCTGGGAGGCAGAGGTTGCAGTGAGCAGAGATGGCGCCACTGCACTCCAGCCTGGGCAACAAGAGTGAAACTCTGTCTCAAAATAAAATAAATAAAATAAAATAAAATAAAATAAAATAAAATAAAATAATAAATTAGAATGGACCAGGCCAGGTGGCTCATGCTTATAATCCCAGCACTTTAGGAGGCCGAGGCGGGAGGATCACTTGAGGTCAGGAATTCAAGATCAGCATGGCCAACATGGTGATCTTGTCTCCACTAAAAATACAAAAATTAGCTGGGTAAGGTAGTGCATGCGTGTCATCCTAGCTACTGGGGAGGCTGAGGCAGGAGAATTGCTTGAACATGGGAGGCAGAGGTTGCAGTGAACTGAGGCCACACCACTGCACTCCAGCCTGGGTGACAGAGCAAGACTCTGTCTCAAAAAAAAAAGAATTAGGATGGATTATACTACTACTTGATCTCTTTTAGTAAATGTATTTAATGTTTTAATTGTGAAATATTTGATGGTGAAATTTGGGAAGATTCTTGATGCTTGAAACCATATTTGCTTGGAGAATATATTGTAATAATTGCAGGAAAGGAAATTTTATATATTTCTGGCAATGAGTTATGCCTATGACAGTATGCTTATTACTCTAAATCAGGCTCAGTGTGCCATTCATAATAAGTAAGTCATGCCCGGTTCAAGTTTCTTTTTAATGTAGTGTATGCAAGTTTTACAGAAAGATCAAGTAATATGCTTCTTTCTTTTAAGAACATGAAAAGAGCATGCTTCACCATTAATTAGTGTCTATATTAGTAAAAGACACTTTTTATTCCAGTTGTTTCCCATGCCATCAAGGCAGCATTCAATTTTTAGATATAGCAACTTTATTGAGCTTTATATTTTTACATAACAGATTTATTTAAAAATATTTTATTATTTAGAACAGTTTTAGGTTCACAGAGAAATTGACAGGAAACAATAGAGATTTCCTATTTTCCACATGCACAGCCTCTCTCATTATTGCTATTCCCTATTCACTGTCAACTTAAAAAAATCAGTATGTATAGCATTTTCTTAGCTCTGTATGTGCATATGACAGTGATTGATGTTCATCTAGTTTTGAACCATTTTGATTGCTTTCTTAATCTGGATAGACAAGGTGGTGAGTACGATAGAAGCTACAGCTCTTTTTTTCCAGAGATGCTATAATGAATATTGGATGTTTTGTGAAAGACAAAAGTAACCCTCTTTTGTAATTATAACAAGTAATATAAAAAAGAATATTTTTGAAGCGTAAAGGAAAATATTCAGATTACATTATTGTTTACTCTGGATTAAGAAAAAACTCTATATTGTATTTTTCTCAAATGGGAATAGCATACATATGATGCTTGTCATCCAGAATCCCTCTGTATTTCCAAACTGAATATTAGGTGCAATATTCTTTTGATACTTTTCATATCTACTCTCTAAAATTAATACTCTCTCTTCTACTGATGTTCCTAATATTACAATTAATATATCAATGCTTACTGTTTACCATATTGTGGACATTCTGCTAAACAAGGCACGTATAATTGTTCAATTTTCCTTCCAAAATCTGAGATAAATACTATTATTTTATTCTTAAGGAGAGTTTTATAAAAACAACTAAGACTCAGAGAGAGATTTAGTATCCTTCCCAAGACTCAATCTGATGGAAGCTAGACTTGACTTGGGATTTTTCTGACTAAAAATTGTGATTCTTGGCATCTGTGGTAGGACAATTCTTTATTGTGTAACTCTTTGCTGAGCACTGCAGGACAGTTAGTATCTCTGGTTCTACTCTCTAAGTGATAGGAACACCTTCCATCAATGTGTTATCAATAAATACCTCCACCCATTTTCAAACATCCTTTGGGGAAGGTGGTCCCAGTACAACTCTGGTGGAAAATCATTGCTGTGATGAAACAATGAAAATCATTAAGTGGTCTGTGTTAGTCCACTTTATGCTTCTATAAAGAATACCAGAGACTAGGTAATTTATAAAGACTTATTTCTTACAGTTCTGGAGCCTGGGAAATCCAAGGTTAAGAAGTCCACATCTGTGGCAAGAGCCTTCTTGCTGCATCATCCCATGGCAGAAGGTGGAAGGGCAAGAGAAAGCAAGAGCGAACAAGAGGTTGAACTCAGAGCCTCAAGCCCTTTTATAATCAGCGTGATTCCCTTCATGTAATTGGAGCCTTCATTACCTAAACACCTCACATTATGCTCCGCCTTCTAACACCTGTGCCTTGGGGATTAAGTTTTGAACACATGCCTTTTGGGAGACACATTTGAACCATAACATGCTCAAAGAATGAAAAGTTTAAGGGAAAGCCATTGCAAGATTAGTTCATATAATCATCATGACTGTGAACCTAACTAGGTTTGGCTGAGGTCTCCTTGTAGAATAGGCATAAAGGGAAACAAAAGGTGGAAATGGCTTCATATTTGAAAGGCCCAACTGCCTTTATAAAAAGCTACATGGTGTCCTCAACGTAGTCTCGGCAGCTATGGGTGTTTCATGGTTGTAGTTAAAAGCAGAAGAGTTTTTGCACATAGTCCCAAACCCAAAGCAAAACTCCAGTTCCTAGAAAAATTAGCCTAAGGATATAAAATGGATGGACTTACCAGAACCATGTTCAAGGTACAGTGTCCTTAGTTTCCTTTAAAGTCTTTAGCACAGCTGTTGGATATGGGATATGAAGTCAAAACAATGTCTAGCAGAGAGTGTGATCCACTTGTGCACCAGAGAGTGGGTGTGGTAAAATTTTACACCGTCTCAGGTGAGGATTGGTTATAGGGACTGGGCAGGACAGTATATTCGAGAGGCTAGAAATAAGGTAAAACCTGTAAACAATGAGGATGAAAAGACAGACTGAGCAATTTGCTCCCTCTGACTGAGGTGGTTTGGTAGCGTGAGGTAGATTTGAGTGGGGTAAAATGAAAGTAAACAAAGAAAAGTAAACAAAGAAAAAGTGGTTTAACCATATCCTCAGCTCCTGAATAGCTCAAAGTGCACCACAGGCAGGAGTCAGGGTAATGGGTAAGTCTGATACAAAAATTCTCAGTAACAGTGTTTACATGTACCATTGTATTTCTAAAAAAGTTCTTATTTGGAAACTCAATTTAAAATTTTAAGTGGTCAGTGTTTTCACCATGACTAAGTTACAAGTAAGTTTGGGGATATTTGTTAGACTTCTTGACCTCTCAATGTCTGAAGCTTTGACTTATGTGTGAAAAATGCCTGGTAAGAAGTAGAGCTTGCTTCCTGAAAATGTCAGATATTCATGTCCTGAGCATCCCTTCTATGGACACATGACCTAGGTGCTGCCAATCAAATTCCCTCACCAGAGTCCTTGGCAAAAATCTGGTGAAAGGAGGAAGGATGGACCTTGTAGAATCCACTCAGGAGATGATGATTACTTCTGTGTTATTGTATCTAGTTTATAGAAGAAGGCTACGTGTGGATCCAGTGGCAGCCTCTACAGCCCACTGATAACTGTATGGCCTAACTTGCGGCATCTTGTACTCAGTGGAAGTAGCAGTGGTGAACATTTGTTTTAACTGTAGAGTTTAGCCCTTGCAAATGTTCTGTGTGTATCTAAAATTGAGATATACTTTATATACATTAAATTGCACACACCTTATGTATTTAATTTGTTCATTTTTGACAATTTTATACACCTACCCTTGGATCCTGAAGACCTTTGAAGTCCTTCCACTTTTAAGGACCTTGTGGATTACATTGGGTCTACCTGGAAAATCCAGGATGATCTCTATATTTTAAGGTAAAATGATTAGCAACCTTGATTTTGTCTGCAACATTAATTCCTATTTCCCATGTAACCTAATGCACAGGCTCCAGGGATTAGAGCATGGGCATTTTTGGGTGTTTATCATTCCACATACACACTCAGAGAACATACATACTTTGTATGATTCAATCTTTTTAAATGTCTGAGAATTGTTCTACAGCCAGGAATATAGTCAATCTTGTTGGGTGCTATATGTGCACTAGGAAATAATGTTTTCTTCTGTGTTGAGGTGGAATGTTTGAGTAAGTGTAAATTAGGTCAAGTAGGTTATATCCTTGTTGATTGTTCTATTTGTTTTAATGATTGCTGAGAGAGAAGTATTGAAATTTCCAACTATAATTGAGAGTTTTTTATTTCTCTTTTCAATTCTATACATTTTTCCTTCATATATTTTGAAGCTATATTATTAGTTCCATATGCATTTAGTTTCCTGACTTCATGTCCCCCCCAACTTTTTTTTTTTTTTTTTTTTTGAGATAGGGTCTCATTCTGTAGCCCAGGCTGGAGTGTAGTGGTGTGATTATAGCTCACTATGGCCTCAACATCCCCAGGCTCAGATGATCATCCCACCTCAGCCTCCTGAGAATCTTGGACTGCAGGTGTGTGCTACCATACCCGGATAATTTTCTTTTTGTTTTTGTTTTTGTTTTGTAATGACAGACTTTGTCATGTTGTCCAGGCTTGTCTTCAACTCCTGGGCTCAAGTGATCCACCTGCCTCAACCTTCCAAAGTGCTGCGATTACAAAGTGCTAGAACTTTTGTCATTACAAAATATGCTTCTTTATACCTGGCAATATCTCTTGTTCTGGAGACTACTTTGTCTAACATGAATGTAGCCACTCTAGTTTTCTTATGATTTGTTTTCATTCCTTTATCCTATCTGTGCCATTATATTTAAAGTGAGTACCCTGTATAGAGTATATAGTTGGGTCTTGCTTTTTAATCTGACAACTCTGACTTTTAATTTAGAATTTTAGACAATTTGCACTTAATAGAATTACCTATATGATCAGGTTTAAGTTTACTATCTTTCTATTTCGTTAAATAAACTTTATTTTTAGAGCAATTTTAGATTCACCACACAACTGAGGAGAAAGTACAGAGAGTTCTCACATATCTCCCCACCCATTCCCCACCTCATCCTCCCCAAACATCAACACCCCGTACTGAAATGGTACATCTATTACAACTGATGAACTTCTGTGACACATCATTATCACCCAAAGCTGTAGTTTACACCAGGGCTCATTCCTGATGCTCTATATTCTATAGGTTTTGACATGTACATTCTATGTTCATTGACATGTATCCACCATTACAGTACTATATAGAATACTTTCACAGTCCTAAAAATCCTCTGTGAGTGAGTTCTAGTTGCTCCACATCCTTGTCAGCATTTGGTGTTCTCAGTATTCTGAATTTTGGCCATTCTAATGGGTATGTTGTGCTATCCTTTTTTCCTTTTTTTTTTTTTTGACATAGGGTCTCACTCTGTCACCCACGTTGGAGTGCACTGGTGCTATCTAGGCTTACTGCAACCTCTGCCTCCCAGGCTTAGATGATCCTCCTACCTCAGCCTCCTGAGTAGCTAGGACTATAAACATAGCAATAGAAACTATCACATATACAGCACACTATAAAAGCAAACTAGAGGCATAAACAAGGAAAAAATATTCAAAGATAAAAGTCTCATGATAGTAGAGAAGTCTTGATCTTGGGAATGCTGTTCATATCAAGGATGCCACCTTCTCTGGGGAGAAACTTTCCTGGTTAACTTTACCTTAGGGGTTTCAATGGATGTACAGTTCCAAGAGTGTGGAGGGACTCTTTTCAGTTGTGAGATAATGAACTCAAAGTTCAAGGTTTCAAAGTTTTGTTGCAGTGTGAATGGCAAGGGTAGTATTTCTCTGATGTTCTCAGAAGATCCAATCTTTGCGTTCTAGATTGTGAAGGGGTTGATTGTCCTCCATGAATTATAAAAAGCTTTCTTTACCTGGTGAAAATATACTGTGGCATAATAATCTACTGTTATAACATCAGCCGTCTTGCATGGGAGAGTTTTTTTACAACCAGATAACATGCATTGAAAATGACAATTGAATGAAATCCCTTTATAAAAGTTTAAATGGCCCATCAGGTAGCCATATGTACCTGAAGCCTTGATTATCTTCCCAGGGATATGGATTTGATAAGCCAAACATTGGTTATAAACTATTTTAGCAATTTATAAATCACCATACCAATATATTTAATTTGGATAATTTTATATTTTCCGTGATGAGTCACGGAATGCAGAACTTTTAATAACAAAAGTTTTAAGAACTCAGAAAGGACAAGGTGGCTGTCCTGGTTCTCCATGAGTCCATGCTTAATTAACATTAGACTTATATCCTCTTAAATACCAGTTGTTTCTCCAAATTAGGTGATAGCACTGATAACTGATGGGTTATCATAGGTAATTTGATGTAGACCATGGAGTTCATTCAAATTGTATATCTAAACCATTATGTATTGGCTAATTTAGCATGAAAAACTAGCAAAGTATTTCTTTGGTATTCAGTTAATTTTTGTTCTACTTGGGTTAGAAGTTTTATAAATCAGTCAGTCTTTTCATTAAAGTTTCAGGAATTCCTATCCAGTCCAATTTTTGGGGAACTGGGGAGTCCATGGGGAATTCTTTTCCACAATATGATTTTAAAGTTATTAGAAACCTGTATTCAAGAGTGCTTTTCAGGGTCCTTTCCATCCTTTCATGAATCTCCTAAAATAAACTATATTCTAGGATTTTGCATGCATGTGAAGTTTTCAGAAACTGCATCAGCATTAAGCAATTAACTGTGGAAATGACTTTAAATAGCCATAGTTAAAGAAATAACTGAAAAGGAAATCAGTTATTTCTGTGGTCTACAATAACCTAACATAGTAACCATAATTATGATTGATAGCATATACTCAGACATATTAAAATTTTAGAAATCCCATATAATTTTGGAATATATATTATCATTCACTAAAATAAAACCTGAAGAAGATTAAACATTATTTTATTTTGACAATGCTTCCTATGTAACCTAACATGTCAAATAATCCTGTTTACTTCTTTTTTGGATGCTTCAGCGGCCCTCTGTATCATCTCAAAGTTAAGAGGTCAGAAAAGACGGTTTTGAAGCTGAAATTTGATTTTGGTAAGCCTATTGAATATGTTAAAGGTTTAACATATTGATATTTAACTTCATATTATGAAACAGAATTCCAGGTTACAATAAGTCATTCATTTAGCCAAAATAAAGACTCAAAATTTTTTAAAAAAGGCAGAAACATTTACTCATTGACAGAGGAAAGTCAGCTTTCCAAACAAACTGTCTCTTATCTTTCCCTTCCTTTTTGGGGTGGTTTATTCAAAAGGCAAAAAAAAAAAATCTTTCATTATCTTTTAATATTACATGAAAATCTTGTTCAAAAGAGAAAACCAAATTTCACCCTTGCATTAAAATACTATTAATGTCAACCTAAATATATAATAAAACCATATAGACAAATTTATTCAATTTTAATCAGTTTGACCATATGGTGAGATTCTCCTAAACCTTTTATAACCCTTTACAAATTTTTGTTAAAGAGCAGGTCAGTGCTTTAACAAAACCTTGTTATGCTTTCATTTTGATGTTCAGCTTGTGGAAAAACCAAATAATGCCCCTTCAAATTTAGTCAAAATATTCACACACATAATTTCTTTTACAAGATTAATTTTTACAACCCTTCCACAACTTATTCAAGCCTTTAGGTTTATCTTACCTAATTTAAAACAATCCTTTAACCCTCTAAACAAGGCAAAAATTTACATTCCTATGCCTTCTTATAATCTCTTACCAAAAACACATTCCATTCTCCTTACACACCTTGCATATAAAACTATTTTTTTCAGTAGTCTCAATTACATGTTATATTAGTAACTCTGAGCAACTTCTACTTTTGGTGCATAAATTTCCTTTCACAAATCCTTTCATGACTTACACAGACCATCTATGACATGCTTGGTCTTTCTGACTTCTCCTAAACACCCTTCTTTTTAAACAATGGTTATTTTACTTTAGGACAAGAATTTACCATAGAAGATCCTTTCTTATATAAAATCTTTTTTCTCTATAACCTTTGCATAGCTAGGGGGATGGCTAATTCCACGTTTCCCCAGGCCTTATTGAGAGTCTTAATCTCCATGGTAGGTAAATTGAACAATTTTCAAAAGTCAAAGCAGTTTACGACCTTAAAGTATTTAGTAAGCCTTATACCTGACCTTCCTAATTTAGACCAAATGTCTTTATTTTACCAATAATCTTTAAAACTTTTTAATTCCCAAAGATTACTAAAATTACATGGACTAAAAGGTGTTACAGTTCTTAATTTTCTTTCAAAATATTTGATTAGTGCTTATTTTTCTTTAAGCCCATTAATTAGAGCTCTTTTATATAAACATCACATACACAACACATAGATAACTACACAGACAGAAGAAGATCCAGTAGTTGTAATATTTTTTTATTTGCTAGTTTCTTAATTGGATTACCGGCCTCAGCATGGATGCCTTCAAGGAACAGGGCTAGGAAAACATACAGTTTCTAGGGCCTAATAAGCAAGCACAGTTGGAAGACAGAAACAGATCCCCAAAATTGAGGGTCTCATTTTTCCTGGTTAACATGGCAAAACCCTGTCTCTACTAAAAATACAAAAATTAGCTGGGTGTGGTGGTACACACCTGTAATCCCAGCTACTTGGGAGGCTGAGGCACAAGAATTGCTTGAGCCCAGGAGGTGGAGATTGCAGTGAGCCAAGATTGCGCCACTGCATTCCAGCCTGGGTGCTGGGTGACAGAGCGAGACCCCATCTCGAAAAAAAAAAAAAAAAAGAAAGGATCCCATTTTTATATCAGATCTTAGATCTCCAAAAAAAGAGAAGTGCTGCAAGAGAAGATAGTGCCATGCTTTTACTGTGCATTTTATTGCATGGCAACCCAAACCAATGAACCCATTTTGCAATTAACCCATCCCTAAAAGTATATTTTCTCCCTAGTTATTACACACTAAAGCTCTCTTATAATGTGAAGTAATCTCTGATACCCCAAAGTAAAAAACATCAGATAATACAATGGAAAATGGAACAGAGCCTTAGATTTTGAGAGGGGATGTATTCACTTTCAATTCCTGGGGTTTCATGAAGGAAACAAAAGTTTTTCCCAAAACAGGGTTTGTGGCACCTCCTCTGTTTTTCCCAAGGAGTCCCAATCTTTTAGAGCTTGAATACCCACTTTTAATTAAGCTGACTTTTAACCACAGTGCTCTTTAAAGAAAGAAAAGTTCTTTTACATCTTTTATTATCTGACTTAAGCCAGGCCAAACAGCCCATATTTCTGTGCTCAGAGAAAGGAAAATGTAAGATGCTTCATGGAGGGGAAGAGAATCAACAAATGGTAAAGGTCACACAGATGTCAAACCAGGAAGGACTCATTCCCTAAGCCAGGAATTGAACCCTGAACCAGGGCTGCCATTGTGATGATAGAGACCAAGAGAAAGTACTGCCACATAGTTACAAGATCAAGCTCCCAAGGACATGAAACAAGATGAGAAGGAAACTTTATGCAGTTTTTGTTGTTGTTTCAGAGACCTGCAGCAAAGTTTGTTACTGACCAGTTTGCTGGGCCATCTTGAACAGTGGGCTTAGAGGGTTACTAGGCCTGCATTATATCCTAAAGTACCCCTCTTTATGACAAAATAATAACACAAAGCCCATCAGAGTCACTATAGCTTAAGACTAGCCTCACGAATCCTTTTTCCCCATTAGTTAAAACTTTACAGAAGAGATAAATGTTGATTTTTACCATTCATTCAGCCGGTTTACACAGAGAGAGAGAGAGGCCAGAAATCTGACTTGTAAGAATGTTTTATCCTTTTGCTGGCATGTCAGATTTCTGGGTTCCCTTTCCCTGAGTGGCACTAGTGATCCTGCGCACCACACCATAGCTCCAGGGCCCAAGCTACATTAGTAAGGAAAATCATGGAACTGCAGGCAAAATCCTCTCAGTTTTGCAAGATGCTGAATAAGGGTTTGCATGGGGTAACCAAATTAACATTTTCCATTCTGGCCAGAGCAAAATATGTGTGACAAAACATAGACATTAGCCACTCTGCCTGGCACCTGATATCAAACCAGCAAGCCTTAAACTTGCCCCCGTTGGGCCTCATCATCTTTAATCCATTTCTAACCAAAAGGAACTTTACTGAGGAAAGGGCCTCTAACCCAATCCTATGCTTTACTCAGGTAAAATGTACCCCGTTACTTATCCAAAGTCAGCCAATTGGTGCTGCAGTCTACTTCCTTTGGATTGGGATAGTAACTAAGCTAAAAATAGCAGATTTAATTTTTTAAATCAGTCGCTTAAGGTTTTTTTTGCATTTCATAAAGTCTTTAAGTAAAAATATTGAAACCTTTTTAGAAGTTTCTGCTTATTAATAGGCATCCTTGGATGAGTCTAAATGCACTTCCATGCATTGTTCATTCAGAATGTTCCACTGTAATTTATCTTTAGTAAGATTTTGTCATTTCTTTAAGACTTTACTACTTCCTGGGCCTAATGTATAAGCCAAAGGAACTCAGTTTTCCAGAAATTAAGGATCCCGTTTTTACCTGAAATATTGGCTTTGCTCTTAGGTTCCCTTGAACTTAGCCAATGATTTTTCCTACCTAAGCATGCAAGAAAAACGAAACAAAGGAGCAGAACACAGAAAATCCCTGTGAATTTTTAAAAGCCAAGTTTTACAACCCCTGCAATATTACCGTTTACTACCAGTTTCTTTCTGACCCAGTCAGATATGAGGCCTCTAACTGGATCCAAGCCAGTTAATTACCAGATCAAACCTGATCCTGGATCTAGTCCAGTTCCTGTCATGACTTCCAAACCCAGTTTGGATCAGAAATTTGCTTGAAGAAACTCAGAGAGCTCACAACACAAATCCGTGGAGCTCTGAAATCCGAGAGAGAACTTATCCACAATCCCCAGTTACTCTGAGAAATCAAAGGACACAAGTGGTTCTGGCAGGTGCCTTGATTGTTCACTCAGTGCTCCTGGGGCTCGTTAGAAGCTCTAGTTTGGGTCCCACTTCTGACACCATATGTTAAAGAAAAACTCCAGCTGAATTAAATTTAAAGTTTAATTGAGCAATGAATGATTTACAAATCAGACAGCCCCCAGAATCACAACAGATTCAGAGAGATTCCCCCACAGCCACGTGGTGGAAGATGATTTATAGACAACAAAAGGGAAATGAGCTACATAAGTCGGAAGTGAGGTACAGAAACAATTGGATTGTTTACAGCTTGGCCTTTGCCTTATTTGAACACAGTTCAAGCATTCAGCACTGTAACAGTGGTTGAAGTATGGCTGCTGCAATTGGCCAAGACTCAGCTATTGTTATAGGTGCATACTCTTAAGTTAGGTTTTCAATATTGTCTACCTATTAAGTTAGGTTACAGTTCATCCACAAGGACTCAAACATAGAAGTATGAAGCCCTTTCCAGGCCATATTTAGTTTGCTTTTATAGTGTGCTGTATATGTGATAGTTTCTATTGCTATGTTTTCAAGTTCACTAATTTTTTTTATTCTGAAGTGTACAATCTGTTATTAGCCCCATCTTGTATATTTTTTAAAATTTCAGACATTATAGTTTTAATCTCCAGGAGTTCCATTTGTTTTTTGTTTGTTTTGTTTTCTTTTTGGTTAGATAGTATCTTTTGTGTCCCTCCTCATCATGCTCAGATTTTTCTCTACATTTTTTTAACAGGTTGAGGATATTTACAATAGCTATTTTAAGGTCTTTGTTTGCCAATTCTATTATCTCTCCTATTTTGTGATCTGTTTCTATTGATCTGTTTCTCTTGGTTCTGGGTTATATTTTCCATCTTCTTTATATATAACTGATAATTTTTGACTGAATGCCAGACATTATGAATTCAATGTTGTAGGGTGTGAAATTTAGTTACATTCCTTTAAATAGTGTTTTTCAAAAATTTCTGGAATGCAGTTGTGAATGCTAGACATTATGAATTTTATGTTGTAGGGTGTGGAATTTTGTTACATTCCTTTAAACAGCTTTTTTTTTAATTTCTGGAATGCAGCCATGTTCTTTGGGATCAGTTTATTCTTTTTGAGGGTTGCTTTTATGTATAGTTAGTGAGGATCCAGAGTACCTTTCAGTCTAGGGCTGATTTAGTTCTATTTCTAGGAGGATTCTGAGCAGCTACTCAATACACCATGGATTATGAGGTCTTTCCGCTTTGACTGGTTGGAACATGAACAATTCACAGCCTTGTGCAATCTGTGAGAATTATTCCACCTACTCTTCTGGGGATGGGGTGGGGAATAGTCCTTGTTATTCTACGATAGTTTGAAATGGAAATCTTATAGAACACTTTTGAATGATGAATTCATTTTTTAAAATAGATATAATGCTATTCAGATTTTCTATTTCTTGTGTCGTTATGTAAGTTTTCTTTCAAAGAATTTATTCATTTTATGTAAGTTATCACATTTATTTGCATAAAATTGTTCATATCTCATTATTATCCTTTTACTGTCACTACGATCTATAATATCTCTGCTTCAATTCCAATGTTAATGAATGTAGGGCCCAGAGGGCCTAGAGCATTTCTCTAGTTCTTTTCCCTGCCCTCCCCCAACCTTCTGCAGGCCCAGCACACCTGTGCTTCAGAGTGAGGTGGGTCTTTCTCACTTCTTCTGCTCTTTATATTCTTCCCTAACACTTGATAAAGGCCTGTGGAAGAGGTAACAGATGTGCAGACTCACCTTTTTTTAAGTCCCACTGGGGATTCTAAAGTCTCATGCCATCCCCAAGTTGGTGCTTAAAACTTAGTTAAAATTTTAGCTATTTTCTTCTTACCTATGTCTAAAGTGACTTTCTCCTATTCCCACTTCTCCACCAAAGACTCAAGCCACTAATGAGGAGTCATTGCTTTCTAGACTTTAACTCATTTGGCTTCTTTTCATCTTCAGCACACTTATGGCCATTAAAGATCTATGATCTTGTAGATAATCTCACTTGTTTTTGTTGTTAGGATATAAATGACATTCCCTTTCAAGTCTCTACTTTTTTTGTTTTATAGCCCACGTTGGAGCTCTCTGCTAACAGAGACCAATGCTGTCACAGAGAACAAAGAAGAGCAGGAATGATGGAATGGTTCTGGTGTCTTCTGCCTTAGGGGCTGCCTCTCATGACAAGCTGCAACACTCAGACTCACCTGTTTTTACTCCCCATTCCCTCAGGAGTGGTTGCTGTTGTTACAATCTGGAGGCTCTTGCAGAGCTCTCTGTTCTATGCCATTGATATGGTTTGGCTGTGTCCCCACCCAAAATCTCATATTGAATTGTAATCCTCATAATCCCCATAATCCCCACGTGTCTAGGGAGAGACCAGGTGGAGGTAATTGAATCATGGGGGCAGGTTTCTCCCATACCATTCTTGTGATAGTGAATTCTCATGAGAGCTGATGGTTTTATACGTGTTTGGTAGTTCCTCCTGCATTCATTCTTCTCCCTGCTGCCTTGTGAGGAAGGTGCCTTTCTTCCCCTTCATGTTCTGCCATGATTGTAAGTTTCCTGAGGCTTCCCCAGCCATGCTGAACTGTAGTCAATTTAACCTCTTTCCTTTATAAATTACCCAGTTTTGGGTAGTTCTTTATAGCAGTGTGAAAACGAACTAATACAGCCCTATACTCTGATATCATTTCAATAATTTTATTCTCTGCCCTAAGTAACCAATTGGTTTCTCCTGCCTATAATTAAGTACTTTAATAATATATTAAGTGTTACAAGATATGCTTAAAAATAAATAAATATAACATTGAATATATTTGTTATCTATGCTACTGCAACAATGTTTTTGTTTTGTCCTTAATTTCTCTGCATCTTACTGAAAATTAATACTCAGTTGAGTTTACTTTTCTTCCTCACCTTGTAACTTATAACTAAGGATGATAATAGCAGTTAAGATTCCTGATATTTGTACTCTGATACCTCATATGGAAAATAATCTTGAAGAGTCTTTAGTTCTTACGTTACTCAAAAGATACCATTTCCTTGAGAGATACCCAAGTGTCCTTTGCTTAGCTCTTGCAATTCTGCTAAAATGCACTACTAAAAAAATCACTGAAAACTTAATTGTTTTCTGATTGTTGACTTTTAGTGGATAAGTAAAGAATAATCTTGGTAAGAGCCAGAATTTCTCTTGAAAGCTTCATAAAATGTATGAAGGCTACACATCTCCCCTTAATCTTGGTTTTGGTTAACTGAGTTTTCATGCAACAAGTCAGTCACTCAAACCAGTTACTCATCACCCTATCACATCCTCTAAACTCAACTGTCATGATGTCCTATCTGTGAATCTGTTATTTCCTCCAAATCATCTCCCAAGTCCACTTCCCTAGTCCAAACTTCCCATTGCTGCTCATTTTACTTTTATTTGTTACAGTAGAAAGCTGCTACCTGATTTTGTAGGTTTGAAAAAGGCTCTCATTACTGACATTTTTTTTGGTTCAGCTTTGCATCACAAAGAAGGCAGTTTTCAAAAGTTAACTGAAAAGAGCACAGATAAATTTATCAACAGATATTGATTTAAAAGAACACTTTTAGTTTTAGCTGTCATTTACAGAGAGGGTAGCCTAGAGGGATAGAAGGTTTTAATAGGTACCTCAGGTTTTCAGAAAGCTGTTGAGAATGGACTATTTCCAGGAGAAGTCAGATTAGAAATGGGATTTCTAGAACATTAACTGTATGGGACCCTAGACACCTAAGAAACTGATTTGGACTTGGGAAGAAGTTCCCCATTGTGAACTGCAACATGCTGGCATAACTCAGTCAGTATAAGCAGAAGTAATGTGCTGGATATTTTTCCTTTGTTCTTTCAGAGCTACTCTCCATTTCTCGTCTCCATGCTCTGTGCACTGTAGGCACAAATAACCTCTAGTTCCACATCAATGGGTTCCTCTTCTTTAGCTTCTGATTGGGCATGGCCAATGAGAGACAGGCAAAGGATGAACAGGTAACAGTACAGTGAGATCAGGGTATTTATTCACCAGGCTTTGTCCTGGCAGATTGCCAAAGCATTGGCTCTGCTCCTCTCCTATGGCTTCTCTTTTTGCCTCTTCATTGTGAAGCATGGTTGCAGACACACAATTACTAGCCCCAAGCACTACACTATATGTTGCCCTTTTCTTTTACTCCTACCTGCGTTTTCTAAATATTTCCTCTCCCCAACTCCTTCATCTGAGTATGTCCTCTGTTTTCTGTTGGGACTATGACTAGTGTAGGGGATACTCAAAATATTCAATAACCTGTAAGGCATGGGCAGCAACTAATTGGAAAGGTTGTAGCTGTAAACAACCAGTAAGGCAGCACCAGTGCATACTGTGTAAATATTGGTGCTGGCTACGGAATGTGGAACAAATATTTTATAAGTAATGTAAGTAATGTGTCAAAATTTACAAATTAAAAACATAAGTGGGTTCAAGGGAGAGCCTGGGGAGTGTGCAAGCATGGTGATTGCACAGTCTAGACTTAGTTGCACATTTTCTTCCATTTGGTAAAACCCAGGTGGGCTTTTAGCCCACCTCATTCTTCTAAGACTGGGAAAACACACTCTAGCCTGTTCTTCCTAATTTAGGCTCCTAATTTTACTGATCAAGACATCTTTCTCTTATATCCGCTAATAAATTCTACTTTTATTCAAATAGAAAACATTTTCAGGCATGCAGAACACATAATTATAACTTTGCAGACCCTTCAACGAAATACATCTGATGTATTTATTAACTTACCCAGTGTATCTTCCTCTTTCAATACAATAGGTTTTCCATTTGATTAATGCTTCCGATCAGATAGCATTCCATCTTCTCTGCTGGTGAACTGTTCACAACATCCAGTACAGCTATTGCCATGTCTGAGAACCTTTCCTGGAAACCACCAGGCAGAATTGATCACTATTCTCTGTACTTGAAAGCACTTTTCACTCTGTATTGTGATTAATAGTGTGTGTTTCTGTCACCATTGTGAGATTTTGATTGCCTTGAAAACAGGGATCAAATCTTTTTCATCTTTATCACCTTAGGGCTTACCACACTGATAATACCTGATAGAACTGATAAATGTCTGTTGAACTGAACTCAGTGAATTTGGTTCTTGCAGATTCCACGGTGAGCACATGGCAGAGCCTGAATTCAAACCCAGTTTTGTTCTCAGTCCTGTGTCCAAACTCTTATCCACAATAATGTGCTGTGTTTCTTAATCGTTTCACAGGGGTTTTTGCTTTGATACATGCAAGGTTTTTTTTAATGTTAAATTTGCCTTATTTTAGGAATTCGGTGATTTCTTATGTGGATTTTATCATCTAATTTACATGTGCATTGATTAGTTTTGTGTTCTTTGTACCATAAATCAGAGTAACAAAAAGAGTTTCAAAACCTGTCATTGAAAACATACTTTTCAAAAAGCTTTATTCCTATTTTCTTTCATGGCAGGGAGCAAGAGCGAAATGAGAGGCAGAGGTATATAAACTGTTCGTATAATACTATAGAGAGCCTGATGTATAGTAATGGCTCCAGGATTGTAAACGTCTCTCTTGGCACTCTTAACACTGTCAGATTATTACTGTGTTCTCAGATTCAGCTGGATGTGTTCAAGGATCTTCTTTGGTCTGAAAGGTCAGCTGCTTTTAGTTGTGCACTGGTAGAATACTAATATGTCCTTATTCAAATTACCTGCTACAGTGCTTATTAAATTGATGGCCTTGTGCTCTAATTTAATACTGGTGTCGTTCAGAGGCGGGCTGCAGCGGCACTCTGTGCTGAACTGGGTGATGGTGAGGCAAAGTTCAAGCTGAAACCATGGTTTGGGGCTGCATTTGCCCACTAAATTAGCAGTCAGATGCAGTGTATAATTAATTAGCACAAACCAGGGAAAGCTTGTCATTTAATAAGCCTTTTTTATTTCCACATTACACAAACAGTGGGAATTGATCCATTAAGTACCTGGCTATTAATGCTGTTTAATGTATGTCTGGTTGTTAAATTGAGATGTCTAGGTACATATGTTCAGAGTTTAAGAGCTCCTCATAGTTTGTTCAGTATTTGCTGAGATTTTAAGTCATGTTCCACAGAATCAATAAGAGCTTCATTACTGAATTTTGAACCCGGTTCAAACCTGTATATGAATTTAAGCTGATAGTTTTTAGCATGACCTCAGAAATAAGTCTTCATATAGATCTCTATATCACTCAAAGTTCAGCTAGTCTCCTTCTCCTAATATTAAATATTATATTGTATTTTCAGCATTCTATCTTTCTTTTTTATATAATCCTTGCTTGCAATTGCCTAAGGCAGAGAATAGCTTTATCCCTGCAGTATTCGGTATAGTACCATGGAATGTTAGAGTTGAAAGGAGCCCTGTGAAATATACAGAATGAGATTTCAGCTGCCCTGCCAGGATATTTGGAAGGGCACATAGGCCTTCCTTAAAGTGGTTTAAGGAACATTCAAAGAGCTGGGTGTTGGAAGCAGCCCTTACCCTAATGTTTTTTTCTTAAAATGCTTAAGGATGATTCACACTGTTTTGTGAACTGGTTGTTTATAGTTATGAGGTGATTAACAAATGTGTTCTTTAGAATAAGTCATTACAGTTTACATGCGCAAATGAGAACATTAAATGGTTTTTCTTTTTTAGTTAATGCAGATAGGAAAACTAGAAACCTGAATGTGAAATTGCTTTGAGAATAGGATAACTGAACAACTGATACCGTCCATTTGCCACATGGAGGAATTATCGTATTTTCCTGTGTCAGTCACATTTAAATTAGTGAAATTAGTCCCTATATAAATTGTCAAATGTCCAAGAAGTTAATTATGTGTGTACACACACAAATGCACACACACATATATATTATATATACCTTTTATATATATAATATAATATACATACCTTTTATATATAATATAATATATATACCTTTTATATATATAATATAATATATATATACTTTGAAGGCTCTTAGAAAGACCAACTAACATAATCATAAAGCTATGCCAACATCTCTGATTTTTTTCTTATAAACAATTAAAATTTTCCTCAGGTTTACATAGGGAATGGTAAGGCTGCATTTTAAAGGGTACCACTTGGGATTACTTTTCCTTCTATAATCAGAAAAAATATTCCAGCTGCACTATTTTCTTTTCCTTTCTTTCTTTTGAGACAGGATCTCACTCTGTTGCCCAGATCGGAGTGCAGTGGCATGATTACAGGTCACTGCAGCCTCGACCTCCCAGGCTCAAGCAATCCTTCCACCTCAGTCCCGCAAGTAGCTGGCACCATGTGCATGTGCCATCTTACCTGGCTAATTTTCAAATTTTCTGTGGAAACAGAGTCTCCCTATGTTGCCCAAGCTAGTCTTGAACTCCTGGGCTCAAGCAATTATCCCACCTTGGCCAAATTACTAGGATTACAGGCATGAGCCACCACACTTGGCCTGCAGTGTTTTCACTAAAATATGTGCTATGGTCTGAATGCTGGTGTTCTCTCCAAATTTGCATGTTGGAATCTTAATATGATAGTATTAAGAGGTGGGAGCTTTGGAAACTTTGAAAAGAGGTTGAAGGAAGTTGCCTTTACCCTTTTCTGCCACATAAGAACACAATAAGAAAGTGTCATCTTTGAAGTACAGAATAAGCCTTTACCCCTCACCGAATCTTCTGGCATCTTGATCTTGGACTTCCTAGCCTCCAGAATTATAAGCAATAAATTTCTGTTGTTTCATAAATAACCCAGTCTAAGATGTTTTCTTACAGCAGTTCATTTCGACTAACACAACATGTAAGTTTTACTGTGAACAACTGCTGAAATAGAATGCCTGTGGCACAAGATATTTATGTTTTGGGGACAATTCAGATCTGTGTAATTGCATTTATCTCATTTTGCTCCATATTACGATTGGATGTTTTCAAGCTTTTCTACTATCCTGACTGAAAGGTCCTTAGTGCTGGCCATATCTAAATATGCATTATACTTAAAAAAAAATTCCCTGCAGAATCAAGAATGGTATAACACGTTTAGTGGCACTAAGGGAAAACTTGTTTAATTGAATGCATGATAATCTTAAAAGGACAGAGTTAGGCAAGTACTTTTTCCCCCGAGTTTAATCCGTATAATGCCAACAAGTAATTTGTTGTGAGTAAATATATAATTTTGTATCTTCCATTAATTTTCCTGCCCCGCCAATTTTTCATACAATAGTAGAATTACTTTCATGATGCCGTTGTCTTTTTCTCAGTGAGAAAGATTTGTAATTATTTACCTGCTAACAAACTCATTCTTTCACTCATTCATTAATTTTTCACCATTTAAGAAGGGCCTATTATATGCCAATAACTCAATAATACAAATATACTGAGAGATTTTTATGATTTTCCTATTTTTGTTATGCATTGCTTTTTTATTGGCATTGTTTATCCAATAATGATATGATAATTATGATAAAATGTATTTTGTCATCTATTAAGCTTGCTTTTTTTTGTGGTAGAATTAGTGCAAGTCACTCAATATTTCCAGTTATTTCATGCCCCCTTAAAATTAGGCATGTAGAGTACAGCTTTGGCAAGGGCGTTGTAAAAAGAAGTGTGTGATTTGTCATTCTGTTCTCTCTGCCCTGCTGATCCTGGAAACCTGTGTTCAGATAATTTTCATCAGCCTGATTTTTGGGTCTCTACAATGATAGAAATTCTTATCTTATCCACTGTTGACCAGGTAATGTAAGCTAGAAATAAATTTTTGTTCTATTAAGCCATTAATATGTGGGTATTATTTATTTCTATATACCCACATATAATCTTGCTTTATTAGTCAACTTTCTCTAGAGAGATGAAATTTCTAGGATAGATGTATATATAAAGGGGAGTTTATTAAGGAGTATCAACTCACACAATCACAAGATGAAGTCCCACAATAGGCTGTCTGCAAGCTGATGAGCAAGGAATCTAGTCCGAGTTCCAACACCTCAAAAGTAAGGAAGCCGACAGTGCAGCCTTCAATCTGTGGCTGAAGGCCTGAGATCCCCTGGCAAACCACTGGTGTAAGTCCAAGAGTACAAAAGCTGAAGAACTTGGAGTCCAAGGAAGCATCAGCATGGGAGAAAGATGAAAGCTGGAAGATTCAGCCAGTCTGCTTTTCGGTCTTCTCCTGACTGCTTTATTCTAGCTGCACTGGCAGCTGATTAGATGGTACCCCCACAGACTGAGGGTGGGTCAGCCTCTCCCAGTCCACTGACTCAAATGTTAATCTCCTTTGGCAACATTGTTACAGACACACTCAGGAACAATACTTTGCATCCTTCAATCCAATCAAGTTGACACTCAATATTAACCATCACACTTGCTTATCCTAATTTATACAATCATTATCAATTTTATGTTTTCAATGGGGAAATGGGAGATGTTGGTCAAGGGTACAAGATTTTAGTTAGGAAGAGTAAGTTTAGTGATCACAGTGGTGATCATATCTGATAATACTGTGTTGCATATTTCAAAATGGCTAAAAGAATAGATTTTAAATGTTTTTACCACAAAAACCTAAAGTATAGGTGAGGTGATAGATATATTAATCAGCATGATTTAATTATTTCACATGTATGCATATATTAAAACTTATACCCCATTTATATATACAATTACTTGTCAATTAACAGTAAATAAATACATAAATATATAATATATACTATCATAGTGTTCTTCAAATAGGTCTTTGCATCTTTCTTGTGAATTTTTTTCTGACAATTTTATAGTTATATTGCATTATATAAATCATTTTCCACATTCCCAAATTTAAGTAAAGCAGAAAATCTTTTTAAACATATATTTTCTGGTGTCTATATATCCTCCAAGTTTTCTGATTAGTTTTAGTATTTTTTCTTTAGTGTCTTGGGGTTTCTTTCCACGCTAATATATAGTCATCAAAATGATGTATGTTTTACTTTGAATGCAATACCTGTAAAATAAGATAAAGAAGATCATTTAAAATGTATATGTCAAAACATTTTAGCTGCATTAAAAGCAGTTTTGGTGGGATATTCCACTGTGTTGTGATTCTTAGATTATATATAAAAAACGTAGCCTATGAGATAAAGGCCTGAGAGCCCCTGACAAACCATGCTGTGACAACATTTTATTTTTAATGAACCAAAAAAAATCCTACCTGTTAAAAGCCTATGCCATCTTTATCCATGTGTACCCAATGGTTAGCTCCTGCTTGTACATGAGGACATACGGTATTTGTTTTTCTGTTCCTGCATTAATTTGACCCGTGTAAGAAAGCTGTACATGTACCCCCTGAATCTAAAATAAAAGTTGAAATTATTTTTTAAAAAGCCTAGGCTTCTTCCTAAACCCCCAAACATTTTTATTTACTCAACTATGTAAATGGAATATCTAATTTGTAATACCAGGTTAAAGATAAACATAATAAATCTTATTTTTCTTTTAGTTAGGTCAATTCAGTAGTCTTTTAAGCTATATCTAGATATAGCTTGGATAATTATTGATTTAAAACAAAGCAAATAAAACTCATGAACCAACATTATGTTGGGATATAAATAAAATTTACTTCACAGTAAATTCTGTCAAATTTCACTTTTGAGTTCTTTGATATACTATATAAATTGTGTTGAAACATGTTTACCAAAGGCTAATTTATAAAAGTAATAAAAGAAAAAATGGTTGTTAGGAGGAAAAATGGCTAAATTACCATGGTGGATAAATAAAATGAAATTTGATATAATCATTAATGTAATACAGAATAATAAATAAGAATATGTAAAGATATTCCTAGCATATTGTAAAAACTAAATTATAAAATAATATGTACCACTCTTACCTCACTATGAACACATTAGATACTAGTATATATCTACATATACATATATGTAGGATGTATATGTCTGTCGCTGACTACACACATGTATAAAAGACTGGATGCATGGATAAATAGTAAGATGAAATGTCTTTTAGTTTTCTTTTTTGCTTATCTGATTTAAAAAAAATTTTTAAAGTGAACCTGTGGTGTCTTTGTATTGAATAAAAAGTCTTAAACTTTTTTTATCATCTTGTGACTCTTTAGTCACCCTTGTCACAGAAAATTCATTTCATCAGAATATCTGGCAATGTCATTACAATGATGGTTTGGGTCCTCGAATAAAGATTTCATGAAAAATGTGAAGAAAAAGATGGTCCTTTTCCCTTTTTTCTATTTAGATATTTTGAAATAGATATATTGAAGGGAGTTAGACATGTTCCACAACAATTATGAAAAAAAATCAGTCCATTAAGCTTGCCATCCTGACCTACATGATATTTCTATTGAAAGAAGTACAGTACTCAAGATAATTCCCATATAAGGCACTGAAATCAGCATTAAAGGATTTTGAATTACAGCTGATGAGCATGCAAGTCTGAAAGAAGACATTAATTTTTTTTTAAGTTCTGAATAGTGTTTAAATTTCTAAGATAAGAGCTACATTAACAGAAATTTATATATATCTTCTTTTTATTTCTCTATACATATGAACACATAGGAGAAGAGTCGAAAAAATGACCATGCACATTGTCTATTTATACTTTGGCATGATTTGCAGACATAATTACTGTTGAAGGAAGAAATAAACTCAAATATATTATTTCTCAGTCATAGTGATGTTTGAATATTTGCCTATATTTTATGCCTTATAATTACAGACAAAATAACAATGTAACACATTTGTTCTGGCCATTATATGCATGTTAAACACAGTTGCAAAACTCAAGGTATGCAAATATTTTATGGGTTATTCAAAATCACATTAGTTGTAATTTATTTAATAGTTTTTGAAGTGCAAAATTAGACATGCACATACTTTCATTTTAGGCTACTTGTTTTATCCACATCTGAATTAATTAAACTGCACTTCCCAGTAAATATCTGTAGACTGACAAAGACTGTATGAGAAAGTTATTGTGAAAAACACTTTCGGAAGATTCTTGAAACTTTCAGTCTTCTAAACTCATAGAATTTTGTCTTTAGTTAGGTCACGAATACCATTTTTGTTAAGAATAAGCCAATGTATTTGGTTTGTTTAATTGCTCCTTTTTTCAAAAGCTTTGTTATTATATTTCCTTCTTTTAAATTATAGGTCATAAAATATGTAGCCTATAAAATCATTCTCATTGGGAAAGAATTGCAGAAAAGTCATTATCTTTTGAAGATAAGTATAGTTAAAAGGTAAATTTAAGCCTTTGGACATCATATAGGTGATCACTGAGCAATGAAACTGATGTTCACATCAAAATTACTGATTGTTACCCATTCTATTTATTAAGGCAAACTCATCATTGAAAATTAAAAATAAGTTTTTGAGTTTTATAAACATAAAAAAGTTTCTTGTTAACTCCCCTATAACATTTTACATATACCTTGATGATCGCTTAAAATAGTTTGTTTAAAATAGTGTGAAGTAAAAATTCTAGTCAGTTTTAAATAGTTTGAATTAAGATTCCTGAATACTGTACCTACTGTGAAAAAAGGGAGTGAAAGGCAGAAAATTCATATTAGAGTGTTTTACATATTATCTAGGATGGAATGTAATAAACTGTTTTAAATATCCTTCTAGTTGTTATGATAGGATGTCTTTAGATAAATTTACAGAATTTATTTTATTTTACTAATTGATTGGTATATTCATCATCCACAGATATATTAGTGAAAGCTGGATTCTAAATGACTTTCCTATGATAAGCTTTCCAATTAATTCTTCTCACACTGTTTTCCTGGTGACATTTGAACTTCTTTCATTATATAAAACACATCTGGAATGATACATTGCTGAATAATAAACATGGATGCGAACATGTTAAAGATTGGACCCCTGACATAGTCAAATATGTTCTGGTTTAAAACAATGACCTCAACTAATTCTGCTTTAAGTGAATCACATTTAGAAAGAATATATAGGCATGTCTTTTTAGCCTGCCTGTCTTGTGCTAGAATTGGTCAAAGAGAGAGAAATGAAATTGTAAACTGTGTCTTCCTTGTTTGAGATGACGATAGTAAGTCATATTTTCCCTCCCATCTGCAAATATTATTTTCTTTTTCTTGTCTGATATTAAAAATACTGCAATAAGGAAATATTTAAAAAGTATTATCTAAAACATATGTTAAATCATGTATTACTTATAATTTACATCTGTTTCATAGGGCTACTAAATTTCTTCCATAGTGTATTTCATAAAGGAGAAGATGCTGATAAGATCTTGTTTAAATGGCTTGCTAATACAAGAAGCAGATCATTTTAAATGGACCTTACATCTTTATAGGATGTTAGAAATGAAGACATTACCTCAAAATGTAGGTAATTATTGCCTCCTCTTTTATCAGTGCTATTTTCTGAGGTATTATCATAAGAGAGCACTTTAGTATTAAGCAGGGCCTTAGAGTGGCAATAAATCAGTCCAACTGAGTCATCATTGTCTAAGGCATCTGAACTACTGAAATGTTGTGGATCCTACTGAGAGTGTGAAATCACTTGACCCTTGGCATTAACCTTTGCTGAATGAATAGACACTGCTTTCCACAATGAGGAACAAAGCAGAAGACTATTGATTAAACACATTCACTTGATATTAAATGCTGGCTGAACTCACTTCTTGCTTCTAGTTCCAGAGGGAGAAACCCAGAGAGTTGCTGAGTCTCAAGAGAATGGATGTTTGTAATTCAGAGCAATGTTTTTCCTAGAAAGTACTTTTTTTTCCCTCCTTTGATCAATAAATAGCACCCATGATCAGACATGAGTATATATTGTCTATTCTGACCTGTATATTTTATCACTTAAGGTGAGAGGTCACAGTGTTGTGACTAATATTTCTAAGTTCTAAGCATGAATTGTTTCCTGACTTCAATATCTATTTGAAAAAGCAATTTGTTTTATATTATTTCTTGTTTATGAATCATTATTTTGGCAATTGATTTGTCTGCAGTAGTAAAATATCTGATTTTTCTAGGATTCTTTGACTTAACCATTCTTTTTGCCGATGTTGAATTTTTACTCGACATTATTGGAAGAAATCACAGTAAAAGACAATCTTAGGATATGTGAGTTATGTTACTTGGGAAAGAAAAACATTACAGCTAAATAAATTTCTCAATTTTATAAAAGGGAAAAGCTTTGGAAGAGAGTATAGCAGTACATGTGAGCATAAAGACAATAAAAATTAAAATATTTTATAAGAAGTCCTAAGCTGATTATCTTCTGATCTACTGCATGTACCTAAACTATTGACAATAGTTTGACAGCTTCTTTATAGACCTACTTTATCCAGGAGTATAATTAAAATTAATTTAATTCATGGAACAAGAGCTAAATTTTAAAATTTTAGCCACAAATTAGAAAATCGTCTTTGTTTTAAATTTCAGTGGCTTCTATGTGCTTAACTTTATATTACTGCAATTATTTTATTGCAAGAAACTACATAAATAGCTACAAGGTCTTTCTTTTCTTTCCAAAATTTCATATTATTCTGGGCTCAGGATATTACATCAGTAAAACTCTTCGTAATTTTTTCATCACTAAAGGTTTTGACTGGCTTATGTTTAATCTTAGAATTCTAGATTAGCTAGTTGTGAATCCATCACGGTTGAGCAAAGATGATTCCTTGCTTGAATAACAGAAAACCTTCCTTCTAAGGTATAATGGTGTAATTTAATACAGTAACATCCACACAGTCTCACACACTTTGCACAATTTTTGAAAAGGAATATTAGAAGGCTGAGGGAAGTTGATAAAATGAATCATGCTGCTAAACTTAATGGTCAATCCTTTTGATTTGATGCATTCTACGGGGTGTGTAGCCCCTGAAATCTTTCTGTGAAAGCTGCTGAAGCTTGGAAAATATGGAAAACATTCTTTTAAAAGACTACTTTGGTTTTGTATCACATATTTCTTTTTCTTTATTACTAAGGACACCTGTATAGCAGCCATTTTTTGTTTTACTGTTATCTTGAGCACAGGCAGGCTATATATGCACAAGAACCTTGAAGTTTACTTTGGCACTTGGGGGTACCAATGTACAATTTATTTAACTCACATAATACAGTACAAACTAGTTTTGTGCAGGCCAAACAAAAGAAAGATAATCAGCTTACAAATACTGATATTCTAAGGTTATGCTTAATAAAAAAATTTAACGAGAATTTGTTTCTTTGAGTACCAACTAAATGTAACTATTACTTATTCTGCAGTTCATACTAGCAAACAAGTTATTTTTGTGGTATTTTAGATGTAACCAAACTCGGTAGAGAAGTGACTGTGTAAGGTCACATAGTAAGTTAGTGACATAGCTGTGATTTGAATTCATGCAGCATGTACTGGAGACCCTTTCATAATCTTTTTGATGTCTTTATGTAGATTCCAAATGGAAATTATTTTAAAATGAGGTTGGTGATCAAAATACAATGAAATTATAATTTATTGAAAACAGAAATATTGAAACTCCAAATTCAGTATTGAAAGAAGGAAGGGAAGGAGAGGAAGAAGAAGAGGAAAAGAAAGAAGAAAAAGAGAGAAAACAAAACAAAACAAAACAAAACACTTTGCTCAGTACTATAGCTCTTTAAGGAAAAGACCAAATAAGAACCTCAATTAAGACATATGCAAAAATAGTTGTTTATTGCTAACATGGGTGGGGAATTTGTAATTTTTTTAATGTTCAAACAAAGTAAGTAGATTCTCATTCAAATTTCTGCTAGAATAAATACCCCCATCCAGAGATAGTTTGGAACACACCAAGGTAAAGTGAACAGTGAATTTTTCTACTAATTACAGATGAGATCCACTAGAGTTTACTCTTGAAACTGGTATTGTTGCTGTATTAAAAACAAAGCTCCCTTTCCAAAAAGTGGTGGGTTTTTGGAAAGTCAATAAGAAAAGCTCCACAATTATTCTGCCATAAGTAGATTATTTAAAATTGAACTTTTCTGAGCAATGCTTTGACATGGTTCCCATTTATCTGACAAGTCACCAGAAACTTCTTTTTAAACAGTTTATATCTAAAAAGGACAGCTTTCAAGGTTTCCATAGCCTGAACATAACAGACTCCAGCCTGGAAGGAACCTTTTTGGGGAGAGACTTTTGTTTCCTTGAATTAGCAGAAGACTTTGAAATTGACTACACATTGTTAAATCCTTGCTTGGGATCTAGTAAAAACCTATATAGTTTATCTGACACAGTAGAGTTTATCTTTTTACATTTGTCATTCCTCATAAAAGATATCGACCAGACTTTTTGTGACTTTGACCAGCAGAAAACCTTGGCTGACATACTCAAGGCTGAAATGCAGTCAGCGGAAATGGAAACACTTCAACTCTGCCCCTGTGGCAAGAATGGCTTCCCTTCAGACAATCTGGCCAGATTCTTTATGGACCCAATGGGAGGTACATACTCGGGGCATTGCGTTTATGTTTTTCCTGACCTACCTGCTCCTTAGAGCTACATCCTAAGACTGCTGCTTGTGTAAAACCTTTCAGAACTATGCATCATTGATCTAGCCATAATCACACTGATCTGTTGGCTTTTCACTAAACTTTACTTAAGTGAAAACTAACCCTCTCCTTCCTGTTTGGGGTTATGATTGACTGTATGTCTTTTGAATGGTGTGAAGATGCTGGCTGTGAAACTGGAACACTGCTTTTTAAATGTCTTTAAAAGAAGGAAAGAAAAATGTGTACCCTCAACTACCACAGAGCAAGATAAAAGAAAATAACGACAGCATGCACTGAGTCGGCAATGTTGACCTTTAGAAATTTTTTTTAGAACATCTCAACAGTTTGAAAATGACTTTCTCTTTTATTTTTCCCAAGTTTATTCTTTTTTGAATATAAGAATTTCATAAGAGTGCATTTTAATTTATTGATGCAATTTTTCAACTATGCTACACACGTATTTATAGAGAGCCTCTTAAATATTTTTGTTTTTTAGAAAACAAACATGTCACTTTCTGCCTGAGATATAGAACTAGGATAGGTAAATAAAAAGAATAGGAAACAAGAGGCCATAAGGACATTAAAAATTGGTCAGAAAAACCAGCAAGAATACTAGCAAGGTATGGGCATGAGATCTAGTATAGAGTGTTACCAGCTCTTACTTTCCATCTCATCATGCTCCCAAATCACTTAGACTCTGTTGAGCAGGTATATATGAAGTTAAGCTTTACACACAATATGCAGGTAACAAGTTATACAAATGCATAGAAACAAAAACCATGTTAGGTGTCTTTTATGTGGGCAGCACTGGTTTCAGATGCTAAGCCTTTACTATACATGTCTATAATTTTATGACACTAGGGTAGTATAAGTACTTAGTAATATTTATGGTCCTCACTCATTTCTCCCTGCACATTCCATGCATGTAGGTAATTTTTCTACAACAAATAGCTTATTCTTTTATAAGGAATGGGAATGGAAAGGGGTAATTATCATTTAGTTGCTTGGTACTGTACTTTTATGTATGCAAGGGCAGACCTCTTGCCCCACCTTTCAAAACAGCATTCCTAAACATCACAGTGCACCCAGAGCTGCTGAACGAGGGCATGTGTGCTGACCCGAATTATTAGCACATCCATCTGTCCAGCAACACTATGAAATATTTTCCATTTTTCACATTACACATCTTTTATGTGAAAACACACACACCCATAATGGCAGCTTTAATCAACAGGGTAGCTGTGGATAAGAATTAACATTGACCATAATGATTTCCTTTCACGTGTTAATCTAATTCTAAAATTAGTAACAATAAAATAGTGTGGTTAAATAAATATTTTAAAAATCTTGATTCCTTTCCCATTTTTCTCCAGATCCTTCCTTTCTAACATTCAACCTTGTTTATAAAGGTTGTTATATAAAGAAATACTGCCTGTTGGTTATAAAAATGGTCTGGTTGCGTGTAAGTAAAGGCAGATGAGTCACTTTGCCATTATCCTAGGTGAGTTCAATAAATAGGTTAGAGATTATGCAGGAATCAAAACAGTGGCTCTAATACATCAGCCCAAATGAATTTTTTAGCAGCAGATTAGTCTGTTATGCAACAATCAACTGTGGCTCTAGCTAAGGAAACAAGTTTTATTTCATAATGCGAGGATTGACTTCTGATACCCAGAAAAGAGTGAAATAAAGAGCCTTGAGAATGTATCGTCTTAAAGTCTTCCCTGGAAAAATGACCTGGTGATTGATCACCAAAGAACTGAGGTCCCCGCACTGTTCAAGCTACCGTATTTAATGTCATTTGATTCCACTTATTTTCTGGTTTGGTAAAAAGTTTCCTTTTATGATTTTTAGAATGGTCATGATTCTCAAATCAGGTTACCAAATTTTATTAAATTGGACAATAACGCTATCTATTTAGAATTAATGTGAGGTAATGTCCTTCCTAATTTATGGTATCTATTCTAGGATTCACTTCTGGGATATATTATTGTTATGAGCATAAGAGAAAAGGGAAATGAAGTGGTTCCTGGCAAAGAAGTTACCACAATATATTCAAAATAAAGAACTATCTGATGCTTATCAACATGCTATAAGGAACTTTAGGTAGAAAAAAAAGCCTTGGGATTTTATGTGAGAGACAGCCTTTGAGATGGGTTTGGAAAGCCCATATGTTGAAAGAAAATTTTAACCTCACCCTCAAATGGCATTCTCGTCTCCTTTGAGATTTATCCGCTGAAGGGGGCCCTATACCAGATATGTAGTCCACATCTTAGCTCGTATAGCACTTTATTATAACTGCTTTCTGTGTCTTCCACTGGGCTGTGACTCAATGAAAGCAGAAAAGTTGAAAGGAAAGAGAAGTAAGTCTGACATTACTTTTAATCTCACTCTCAGAAATTGGATGCTTGTATATACCTCTCAGCATCTTTGAAGGGGCACTGAAACTTCAATCAAATTGGGGAAAGGGAGCCCTGAACTTTAGACCTGTTTTAAATGTGCAGAGGTAGGATTGAGACTTTCTTTCCTTTCTAAAATACCTCTCATGATTCTTAACTACTTTTATAGAGTCCTTGAGCCTTAAGTCTCAGCCATATTAAAATCCCTTTTTCAAAGACATTTGCTGAAGGAATAATGGCTTAGTACTAAGAAAAAACACCACAAGTTAAAAATGTACTTGGCTATAATGGAATTTATTATCATAAACTACAATTGTCAGTTAAGTTGTGTTCCTTAAGGCATTAACAGTGTTTGCCCAAAATGAGCTGATTTATCATCAGTACTAAGAAATCTTTTGTGAATTATTGTTGATGCTAAACACAGTTTTTGATTGTGATAATAGCTTGGCCTTGGAGTCCGGTTTACTTGCTTGCAAATTAGCCAGTGTTCTTTGGTGCAGGGGATGAGAAATGTGACATTGACTTTGGAATTGTGATCAATAGCTTTTGATCTAAGAATCCTTTTTCTTTTTTGCAAGTGGCAACTGGCACAAGGAACACTTTCCATCTGTAAGAAAGAATACAAAGAACTTGGAACAAGAAAAAAGTAGATATCTCATCAGTCAATGTTGCTGTATAGGTAAAGTCTGAATTTTTTTAAAAAAGCAGAAGCATCTCTATTATAAAGATTTAATAGTTGCAGGGTAGTGTAGACAGGGCTCTGTATGTTAAAGCATTAAAAACAGAAGCAAAACAACATAAAACAAAAGTGTCCCTTTAATGAGTTCAGTCTTACATGACCAAAATGTTGTTATAATTGCCCCTAGGATTCTACCTACAAAAATGGATTATTTAGTTGGGTATTGTATTAGTCCATTCTGGCACTGCTATAAAGAAATACCTGAAACTGGGTAATTTGTAAAGAAAAGAGGTTTAATTAGCTCATGCTTCTGCAGGCTGTACAGGAAACATGGCTGGGGAGGCCTCAGGAAACTTTCAATCATAATGGAAGGGGAAGCAAACACATATATGGCCGGAGCAGGAGGAAGAGAGCAAAGAGGGAAGCGTCAGACACTTTTAAAGAACCAGATCTCATGAGAACTCACTCCCTATCATGAGAACAGCAAGGGGGAAGTCTGCCTCCGTGATCCAATCACCGCCCACCAGGCCTTTCCTCCAACACTGGGGATGACATCAGATGAGGGTGAGGACACAAATCCAAACCATATCAGGGATTAAATCTTCCAGTATGATATATGATATCAGACACATCAGACACATTTCAAAAAGAAGAATGAATAAATATGAATGAGAAATTTGATATAGACTCTAGGTTGCATAAAAAGGGGTCAGATAACTTTTACAAGGATAGCTCTATATAGGTCTACCTCCAAGAAAATGAATGCATACTAATGCTCGATCCTAGTATTTGTGTTTTGTTTCATTTTAAGGGTCCCTACATGTTTTACAGATACTCACCTTTTATTTTCTGTTTTCTATGCAATCTATAATTTATTGCATTCTAAATATTTTTTCATTTCTATTTTCTTATCTTTAAAATAAACTTCTTTCTTTCCTTGGGGATAAGCCACTAGCTATTAAGGGAACATTCTTGATTTATTATAGATAGGTTGAATAAAGTTTTCATAAAGTATCTTATTCACGTAATAGAATTTACCAATATGAAAGTCTTTTGACTATAACTCTAGCACTTTCTCATTAACCTATGCCTTCAGTACAGCAAAGGATATGCATTTGTTTGAGGATTTGTGTTTTAGATGCAGACTGATTAAATAGAGATACAGTTTGTTAATGAAATAATGTATATAGACACCATGCCCAGCACTTGTTGGACATTATATCATTAGTCCTTATAATAAGCTGCAGAGCCAAATATGATATCCAAACTCTTCTCTCCATTTGCAGAGGACTAAACTGAGACTCTAATTCAAAGATGTAAAGTAAAATTCCCAAGATTACGAAGCTAATGAGTGACAAACTGACATTATAATTTCAAAGTAATTCCACTCTTAGTTACATTACATTGCCTCCCTCTCAGTTTTTATCATCAAGATAAATGTTTGTTTCATAAGTAGAGTCTATGTTTATGTTTTATGTTGACATTTTCTTACTCTGCATATAGTAATAAGAGTATTAGTGGGAAACAGAGAGAAGAAATGTTTTTTAATTTCTCGAGTTGGAACATGTTGTTTACTTAGGCCTTTGGTCAAACCATAGTTTATCATCTGTATTAGTATGTTCTCATGCTGCTATAAGGACATACCTGAGACTAGGTAATTTATAAAGAAAAGAGGTTTAAGTGACTCCCAGTTCCATAGCGCTGGAGAGGGCTCAGGAAACTTATAATCATGGCAAAAGGGGAAGCAAACATGTCCTTCTTCACATGGTGGGAGGAAGGAGAAGAATGAGAGCCAAGTGAAGGGGGAAGCCCCTTATAAAACCATCAGATCATGTGAGAACTTACTCACTATTACAAGAGTAGCATGGGGGAAACCGCCCCCATGATTCAGTTACTTCCCACTGGGTTCCTCCCACAACATGTGGGGATTATGGGAACTACAATTTGAGATGAGATTTGGGTGCGGACACAGCCAAACCATATCATCTTCTTTTCTTATTTTATTAAAAATGTCCTTTCTGTAGCATTCTGAGCTTTGAGTCTGTATCTTGTTATTACAGAGAGTAGCTAAATGAATAATTATTAGCACCCTTTTAATAATGTACTCCTATGTAATTGAAGAAAAATTATTGTATAAAGCTAATATATATTAAGATTTATTTTGATTTTCTTTAATTAAAAAAATCAATTCTTAGTATAAAAGGTACACCATTGAGCTAATTTGATTTGAGTAATGATATCTGTTTTAAGAGAAAAATGAGAAAAATAACAAATCTATTGTTAGTAACACCATTACTTTTATACCTGAACATACTTTCTCCAGATCTTTATTTTCTTGTCTATCACCATTTGTCCATTAGGCAAATTTTCACGATATTGACTTTTCTAATTTAAAAATATCCTTGTATTTTTTCTGTTTATTCTACTGAAATAAATAATGTCACAATGATGTTCTATCATTTCACCCACAAGAGAAAAATATTGTGAAATTTTAATGAACAGTAATTAATTCATTCAATATCTGAGTAGCTACTACTATGTGTCAGGCACTGATATGGCCCTGTGAATATAATAGTGAACCCAATAGACAAAGAGTCCTGCTCTCAAGGAAGTTATATGACAATAAACAAGATTGATAACTAAAAAATATGGTGATATGGTGTAATACATAGTAATAAGTGCTAAGAAAATAATAATGTAGAAAAGGGGCAAAGAGAATATTGGGGACAGTATGTTTTAGATAAGGTGGCCAAGGAAGGCCTAATGAGATGATGTCATTTGAGTAGAGACCTGGATGAAGTGAGGTAGCAAATCACAACTTTCTAAAATTACATATAAAATATCCTTTATGCAGTTATGTATTTGGCATTATGTAGCTATTATATTGACATTAGTGTTAAAGTGTCTTTCTAGTAGCCCAATTTTAATAATTGTTTCAACAAGACTGTGTGTGTATTGTCCTTTAGGCTCTATTATTCCTTTATGAATGCCAGAAGACTTCTGAAGCAACTGCTCAAGTCATTTAGGAAAAGTAATATCCTTGGCTAAAAGTAGTATTCCACTTATTGGCTACAGAATGTTGAGATATAAGACAGAATCCCTATCTATAGGTTTATTCTCCTATTAAAGAAATGAATAATGCTGGGAGACTAGAGAACCCCTCTTTTCTCCAAAGGAGACAGTCCCTAAATCTCTTCTTATCGCATCAAATTTTAAGCCTAGGATTTCTAGGTGATGAATACTTTTCTTCAAATTTTTTTCCCCATGACTGATCTACCTAAAACCAAAACTGATCTGTTCCCTACATGCCCGATACACAGTGGTAAAGACAAATCAGATATACAATTTGACTGAAAATTCTTTATTTAAAGCATGGTGATATATATATGTATGTCAGTTTTAATATATATTTTATGGTAATCGGTTAACATTTGAAGCACTCTATTTGGCATTGTCTCTGCTAGAACTCACTCCCACTCCTGCAGCTATGATAAGCCCTTCAATTATCTTTATCTCACCACCAACAAAGGATGTATTAATTAAGATAATCGACTTTAGAAATGATTATTCATTCGTGAAATAAGTGATGTTTAAGATATGTGCACTTTCGAGAAATGTTACACACTCACCTCTGGCCTTGCATGAACAGGGTCTAAGAATCTAGTGGCCTCAGTAGTATATTCCTTTTAATTTGTTTCCACTTCCCTTCAGAATGGCATTGTAAGCCCTGGATTCTGTATAGTCCTATGTTTAGACATACATGGTGGAGCTCATTGACTTAATCCAACTAGCAGTATACAGAATCCTAGAATATTTATTCATTTATTTCTGCTAGAATATTTATTTATTTATTTCCATTGATCCTTTCATGCATGGTTTGGCCAGAACATCTAAAAGGAATGAGAACGAAAACTTCATTGCCTTTACAGAAACGGTTGTAAAAAAAAAAAAAAGTACATACTAAAATACATGTTTGGCAGAATTTGATCTCAGTCTTGCACAGTTGTGAGAGATGAACATTTAGTTCTTATGTACTTATAGCCAATGGAGGCCAAAGAAACTTAACAAAAAGAATCTAACAATTGTGAATGACCACATTGGCTTAAGTCAGTGCACAATTACTACATTAAAAAAGTCCCAATTCAAAAGGAGACAAGGGAAACACACAGCAGTCACTGGTTCGTAACAAAAATCAAGATGGTAAATATAGAAGAGGTTGTAAATATAAAACTATTGTAAAATTTTAAAATTGTTAAAAAAAAGAAGGCTTGGCAGTAGATGAAACTATGCCCTATGCATTGTCAAGCACATTCCTTTAAAAGTGCTTGGAAAAGAGCAGGGAGGCTTCTTGTTCTAGTAGGTCCTGCTTTGTGTGAGGAGCTTGATGCTTATGATGGCCACATCTGAGTTTTGGAGAGTGTGTCCCCTGGGTGGTTGTGCATCTTTCATCCCACTTCCTACTGCTGCAGATCTGGAGGCCTGTGGATTCCTTTACAGAGTGCACAGTTGCAAGCAGTTCTTTGCTATCTTGTTTGTTTAGTAGTTCAGTTCCCTACAAACTTGAATAAGAAATCAGTATGTTTCTACCTGTTAGGACACAAAGCTAAAGATCTTGTTTGGATGTTGTTTTAAACCTGATAAATTTGGCTCTCGGGAGTTGGCTTCTATGCTCTGACCTTCTTTTCTCCCTTTTTTAAGGAGCCACAACCTTGAAGCCAATTGGGACAATAGGATGTTGTGGCAAGACCCTCACCTAATCTTTGCTGGGCTGGGCTTGCTCCCGTTGTTCAGCAGAGTGCTTTTAAAAGAATGTGTTTGATAACACTTAGGGCATAGTTAGTCTTACCTACTGCTAAGCGTGCCTTTTTTAAAATAACAATTTTAAAATTTTATAATAGTTTTATATTTGCAGAAAAATTATGGAGATAGCACAGAGTTCCCATATATCCCGTGCCCAGTTTTCTTTATTATTAAATTCTTACATTAGCATGGTACATTTGTTACAGTTAATGAACAAATATCTATATGATGTTATTAACTAAAGTCTATATTGTATTCAAATTTCCTCTTTCTGTTCCAGCTGTAATTCAGGGTGTCACAATATGTTTAGTCATCGTGTCTCCTTGGGCTCCTTATGGCTGTGACACTCTCTAAGACTTTTCTGGCTTTTGATGTCCATAACAGTTTTGAGGAATACTGGTCAGGTATTTTGTAGCATGTCCCTCACCTGAGAATTCTGATTTTTTTTTCATGATTAAGCTGATGATATATGTTTTTGGGAGGCAGATCAGAAAGGTAAAGTCCCAGTTACATTACATCATATCACATCAAGAGTATGTACAATTGTTAAAAAAAGTTTTCATTGGGAGGCCAGCTCCACCACCTTGAATTCTTAGGTAAGCAAATGTAAGCCCAGTGTAAACAGTAAAACCAAACTTAAATTTTACCAATCAGAAACTACCAACTATCTTCTAACTAGGGACATCCCACTTTAACCAGTCAAATTTCTTTGTCTTGATTATACCTTGTAAAATTTTTCTGTCTCTTGCTTCCCTCTCCTCCAAGTGGAGCATAGAACTGCCTATGGCCTGGTGCTGCCTGATTCGTGAATCACTGAATGTTCAAATAAACTCATTGACATTTTAATGTGCCTGAGTTTATCTTTTAATGTTATCAATATGAGTTATCACTGTTGAAGTTCACCTTAGTCACCTGGTTGAGGTGGTGTTTGTCTTATTTCTTCACTGTAAAGTTACTCTACTGTCCACTTGCTTTTTTTTTTTTTTTTAACTGCATCCTTTGGAAGAAAGTTATTATGCACAGCTCACATTTAAGGAATGGGGAGCATCAAAAAGTGGGCAAAGGATATGAACAGACACTTTTCAAAAGAAGACATTTATGCAGCCAACAGACACATGAAAAAATGCTCATCATCACTTGTCATCAGAGAAATGCAAATCAAAACTACAATGACATACCATCTCACACCAGTTAGAATGATGATCATTAAAAAGTCAGGAAACAACAGGTGCTGGAGAGGATGTGGAGAAATAAGAACGCTTTTACACTGTTGGTGGGAGTGTAAACTAGTTCAACCATTGTGGAAGACAGTGTGGCAATTCCTCAAGGATCTGGAACTAGAAATACCTTTTGACCCAGCCATCCCATTACTGGGTATATATCCAAAGGATTATAAATCATGCTACTATAAAGACACATGCACACGTATGTTTATTGTGGCACTATTCACAATAGCAAAGGCTTGCACCAACCCAAATGTCCATCAATAATAGACTGGATTAAGAAAATGTGGCACATATACACTATGGAATACTATGCAGCCATAAAAAAGGATGAGTTCATGTCCTTTGTAGGGACATGGATGAAGCCGGAAACCATCATTCTGAGCAAACTATCACAAGGACAGAAAACCAAACACCGCATGTTCTCACTTATAGGTGGGAATTGAACAATGAGAACACCTGGACACACGGTGGGTACATCACACACTGGGGCCTGTCGTGGGATGAGGGGCTGGGGGAGGGATAGCATTAGGAGAAATACCTAATGTAAATGACGAGTTAATGGGTGCAGCAAACCAACATGGCACATGTACACATATGTAACCTGCACGTTGTGCACATGTACCCTAGAACTTAAAGTATATATATATATATATATATATATATATATATATATATATATAGCAATGGGGAGTTATGCTTCACCCTTATAAAAGTATCTACATGAGTTATTTGGAATTATTCTGCATGGGAAATTTGTTTAATCTATTTATTGAATCATTTATATCAGTATATTTATTTTACATTTTGTGTTATAATCCAGTACTACTTTATTTATTATAGTACTTGAATTGCTCCAGCTTTGGCTTTGGAAGCTCTTTCAGTTGGCTCTTGTGTCCCTTTGAGATACCTGAATCATCGTGGGATTTTCTTTTTGAACACTTTTTTACTTTCTGGTACTACAAGATGCTCCACACTCATCTATTTCTTGGCCTGTCATGGAAACAGCTATGTTTCCAAGGAGCCCTGGTTCCTTTTAGTGGAAGATGATAGTAGAAACTAAGACCTTGGCAATAGGTATGCTCATTGCTACTGATCTGTTCTTGCTTCCAGATCCTCTTTCTTGACAAAGCAAGGAAATACATGTGTGTACACTAATCATGTATACACTATCTATGAACATTTCTATATGTAACCCTCTGTATCTGTATTTAGTTAAACATGAGTTCATACTGATGTCTGTAACTTTAATCCATTACAATCTGGGTCATTTTAGCCCTGTCTTCTCTGAAACCTCCCACTACTACAATGAGAAGCCTAGATCCCCTCATCTGCCATTCATTTAGTTAATTAATTATTGATTTCCACTATACAGGTATTGTGATATCTGAGCTGTAAACATGTATCCCCTTAGGAAAAACCTTACCAACTATATTGTGGTGCTTATGTATTATTTCTGTTTATCTTTAGTCTTATAGATACCACTCATTTCCAAAGTCACTTAGATCAGGATCCTTTCCCCCAAATTCTTCAGTGAGGTAGTTTCATACATTTGTAGTACATTCTGCATTCCGTTTGTACATTCTGCATTCCATTCTTGGGTCCCTTGAATTCTTAACATTTTTTAAAAATACTCATATGTTAGGGTTCAAAACTCCATATATTAGGTTTGTGTTATACATTTTATGGTTTGGACAAGTGGATAGTGTCATGTATCCACCCCTATGGTGACATACAGATTAATTTTACTGCCCTAAAATATCTCCTGTGCTTCACCTATTCAACCCCCTCTCCTCAAACCTTTGGAAATTACTGATCTTTTTACTGACTTTATAGCCTTGCTATTTCCGAATGCCATGTAATATCAGACTGTTTTTTTTTTGGCTTTTTTCTTTCACTAGTAATATGTGTTTCAGATTCATCTATATCTTTTAGTGACTTAAAAGCTGATTTGTTGCCTATCAATGATAAAGTGGATAAAGAAAATGTGGTACATATACACCATGGAATACTATGCAGCCACAAAAAAAAAAGAATGAGATCATGTCCTTTGCAGGAATGTGGATGGAGCTGGAGGCCATTATCCTTAGCAAATTAATGCAGGAACAGAAAACCAAATACTGCATGTTCTCACTTATAAGTGGGAGCTAAATGGTGAGAACACATGGACACATAGAGGGGAACAACACACACTGGGGCCCACGAGAGGGTGGACACTACAAGGAGGGAAAGAAACAGGAAATGCAGCTAATAAGTACTAGGCTTGATACCTGGGTGATGAAATAATCTGTATAACCAACCCCCATGACACATGTTCGCCAGTGTAACAAACCTGCACAGCCTGCACATGTACCCCTGAACATAAAAGTTAAAAATAAAAAAGCTCATTTTTTTTTTTACTGATTAATATTCTATTTTATTTATGTACCATTGTTTATCCATTTGCCTATTGAAGGACATATTAGTTGCTTTCAGGTTTTGGCAATTATGAATAGAGTTGCTATATATGTTTGTGTGCTGGTTTTTGTGGACATAAATTTTCAAATTATTTGGGTAAATATTTCAATTGCTAGATTGTATGGTAAGACTCTTTTTAACGTTGTAAGAAATTGCCAAACTGCCTTCTAAAGTGGCTTTACCATTATGCATATTTGCCAGCAGGGAATGAGAGGTCTTGTGGCTCCTCATCAGCCACTGATATTGTCAGATTTTTGGATTTTAGGCATTCTAAAACTGTGTAGTGGTATCTCATTATATTAATTTGTAATTCTCTCTGATGACAAATTATGGTGAGAAATTTTCATAAGTTTGTTTATTATCTGTTTATCTCCTGTGGTGAGATGTGTGTCTATTCAGATCTTTTCACCATTTTTAAATAGGGTTGTTTCATTTTTGTTGAGTTTTAAAAGATTATTTCGTATTTTGAACACAAGTTCTTTATCCGACATGTTTCAAAAATATTCTCTCCTAGTTTGTTGCTTGTCTTTCCATTTTCTTAACAGTGTCTTTTGCAGAGCACAAGTATTTAATTTTAATAAAGCTACATTTATCAATTTTTCTTTTATAAATTGTGTTTTTGGTGTCATATCTAAAAACTCACTACCAAACCCATGATCACATAGATTTTCTCCTATGTTATCTTCTGGAAGTTTATAATTTTCATTTAAAATTTAGCTGTGTAAACCTTTTTAAAATGCATTTTTGTGTTAGGTGGAAGATTTGTGTCTAGGGTTATTTATTTATTTATTTTTGCATATGTACATCTATTTTTTAGCACCATTTGTTGAAAAGACTATCCTTTCTCCATAGAATTGTCTTTGCTTCTTTGTCAAATATCAGTTGACTACACTTGTGTTTATCTATTTCTGGACTCTCTATTCTGTTCTCTTAATGTTTGTGTCTATTTTTTCAACTATGTCACTGTATCCTAGTTATTGTGACCTTAGTAAGTCTTGAAATAAGGTGTGTGAGTCTTTTATCTTTGTTCTTCTTCAGTATTATGTTGTCTAATCTAGATCTATTGCCTTTCCATATAAACTTTAGAATCAATTTGTCAATGTTCACAAAATAATGTGCTTGTATTTTGATTTGAATTGTGTTGAGCCTATAGACCAACTTATAAAAAATTGACATCTTGGCTATTATTAAAAAGTCAAAAATTAATAGATGCTGGCAAAGTTGCAGAGAAAAGGGAATATTTACATACTGCTGGTGGGAATGTAAATTAGTTCAGTGAGTATGGAAAACAGTTAGAGATTTCTCAAGGGACTTGAAACAGAACTACCATTACTGGGTATATACCCAAAGGAATATAAATTATTTTACCACAAAGACACATGCACATGGATGTTCATTGCAGCACTATTCACAGTATCAAAGACATAGAATCAACCTATATGACTATCAATGGTGAACTAGATAAAGAAAATGTAGTACATATACACCATGAAATACTATGCAGCTATAAAAAAGAATGAGATTATGTCCTTTGCAGCAACATGGATGGGGCTGGAGGTCATTATCCTAGCAAATTAATGCAGGAACAGAAAACTAAATACTGCATGTTCTCACTTATAAATTGGAGCTAAACTTCAAGTACACATGGACACAAAGAAGAAAACAACAGAAACCAGGGACTACTTGAGGGAAGAAGGAAGGAAGAGGGAGAGGATCAAAAAACTACCTATTGGATACTACACTTAGTATCTAACTGATGAAATAATCTGTACACCAAACCTCCATAACATGCAGTTTACTCATGTAACAAACATGCATATATACCCCCTGAACCTAAAACAAAAGTTAGAAAGAAATAAAAATTGACATCTTGATAATATGAAGCCTTCCTATCCATGAACACAGACTATCTCTTTATTTAGATCTTTAATTTCTTTTATCAGTGTTTTGTATTTTCCTCATATACATATTGTACATACTTTAGTAGATTTATACCTAAGTATTTCTCTTTTTTTAGTGCAAATGTAATGGTATTGTGTTTTACATTTTATATTCCAATTGTTTATTACTGGCATAAAATAAAGCTTTTGACTTTCATGTACTCAACTTGTATCCTGCAATCTTACTATAATCACTTATTAGTTCCAAGAGTCTGTTGATATTTTTTGGAATTTTCTACGTAGAAAATAATTTTGTCTGTGAACAAAGACAGGTTTATTTCTTCCTTCTCAATCTGTATGCCTTTTATTTCCTTTTCTTGTCTTACTACATTAGCTAGGACTTTGAGTATGATATTGAATAGGAATGGTGAGAGCAGCATCTTTGCTTTGTTTCTGACCTTAGTGGGAAAACATCTAGTTTTTCACCATTAGATATGATGTTAGCTACAGGCTTTTCCCAGATATTCTTTATCAAGATGCGGAAGTCTCACTCTGTTCTTAGTTTGCTAAGGGTTTTCTTTTTATCATGAGGTATAGCTTTCTACTATATTTCTATAATACTTTCTATAAGAGTATTTTTACTCTT